>NC_000009.12:105341764-105493279 GCF_000001405.40 Homo sapiens | reverse complement strand
AGATCAAAAGAGACAAAGAAGGCCATTACATAATGGTAAAGGGATCAATTCAACAAGAAGAGCTAACTAGCCTAAATATATATGCACCCAATACAGGAGCACCCAGATTCATAAAGCAAGTCCTGAGTGACCTACAAAGAGACTTAGACTCCCACACAATAATAATGGGAGACTTTAAAACCCCACTGTCAACATTAGACAGATCAACGAGACAGAAAGTTAACAAGGATATCCAGGAATTCAACTCAGCTCTGCACCAAGTGGACCTAATAGACATCTACAGAACTCTCCACCCCAAATCAACAGAATATACATTTTTTTCAGCACCACACCACACCTATTCCAAAATTGACCACATACTTGGAAGTAAAGCTCTCCTCAGCAAATGTAAAATATCAGAAATTATAACAAACTGTCTCTCAGACCACAGTGCAATCAAACTAGAATTCAGGATTAAGAAACTCACTCAAAACCATTCAACTACATGGAAACTGAACAACCTGCTCCTGAATGACTACTGGGTACATAACAAAATGACGGCAGAAATAAAGATGTTCTTTGAAACCAATGAGAACAAAGACAAAACATACCAGAATCTCTGGGACACATTCAAAGCAGTGTGTAGAGGGAAATTTATAACACTAAATGCCCACAAGAGAAAGCAGAAAAGATCCAAAATTCACACCCTAACATCACAATTAAAAGAACTAGAAAAGCAAGAGCAAACACATTCAAAAGCTACCAGAAGGCAAGAAATAACTAAAATCAAAGCAGAACTGAAGGAAATAGAGACACAAAAAAACCCTTCAAAAAATTAATGAATCCAGGACCTGGTTTTTTGAAAGGATGAACAAAATTGATAGACTCCTAGCAAGACTAATAAAGAAGAAAAGAGAGAAGAATCAAATAGACACAATAAAAAATGATAAAGGGGATCTCACCACTGATGCCACAGAAATACAAACTACCATCAGAGAATACTACAAACACCTCTACGCAAATAAACTGGAAAATATAGAAGAAATGGATAAATTCCTCGACACATACACCCTCCCAAGACTAAACCAGGAAGAAGTTGATTCTCTGAATAGACCAATAACAGGCTCTGAAATTGAGGCAATAATCAATAGCTTACCAACCAAAAAGAGTCCAGGACCAGATGGATTCACAGCCGAATTCTACCAGAGGTACAAGGAGGAACTGGTACCATTCCTTCTGAAACTATTCCAATCAATAAAAAAGAAGGAATCCTCCCTAACTCATTTTACGAGGCCAGCATCATCCTGATACCAAAGCCGGGCAGAGACACAACCAAAAAAGAGAATTTTAGACCAATATCCTTGATGAACATTGATGCAAAAATCCTCAATAAGATAATGGCAAACCGAATCCAGCAGCACATCAAAAAGCTTATCCACCATGATCAAGTGGGCTTCATCCCTGGGATGCAAGGCTGGTTCAATATACGCAAATCAATAAATGTAATCCAGCATACAAACAGAACCAAAGACAAAAACCACATGATTATCTCAATAGATGCAGAAAAGGCCTTTGACAAAATTCAACAACCCTTCATGCTAAAAACTCTCAATAAATTAGGTATTGATGGGACGTATCTCAAAATAATAAGAGCTATCTATGACAAACCCACAGCCAATATCATACTGAATGGGCAAAAACTGGAAGCATTCCCTTTGAAAACTGGCACAAGACAGGGATGCCCTCTCTCACCACTCCTATTCAACATAGTGTTGGAAGTTCTGATCAGGGCAATTGGGCAGGAGAAGGAAATAAAGGGTATTCAGTTAGGAAAAGAGGAAGTCAAATTGTCCCTGTTTGCAGACGACATGATTGTATATCTAGGAAACCCCATTGTCTCAGCCCAAAATCTCCTTAAGCTGATAAGCACCTTCAGCAAAGTCTCAGGATACAAAATCAATGTACAAAAATCACAAGCATTCTTATACACCAACAACAGAGAGCCAAATCATGAGTGAACTCCCATTCACAATTGCTTCAAAGAGAATAAAATACCTAGAAATCCAACTTACAAGGGATGTGAAGGACCTCTTCAAGGAGAACTACAAATCACTGCTCAATGAAATAAAAGAGGATACAAACAAATGGAAGAACATTCCATGCTCATGGGTAGGAAGAATCAATATCATGAAAATGGCCATACTGCCCAAGGTAATTTACAGGTTTAATGCCATCCCCATCAAGCTACCAATGACTTTCTTCACAGAATTCGAAAAAACTACTTTAAAGTTCATATGGAACCAAAAAAGAGCCCACATCGCCAAGTCAATCCTAAGCCAAAAGAACAAAGCTGGAGGCATCACGCTACCTGACTTCAAACTATACTACAAGGCTACAGTAACCAAAACAGCATGGTACTGGTACCAAAACAGAGATATAGATCAATGGAACAGAACAGAGCCCTCAGAAATAACGCTGCATATCTACAACTATCTGATCTTTGACAAACCTGAGAAAAACAAGAAATGGGGAAAGGATTCCCTATTTAATAAATGGTGCTGGGAAAACTGGCTAGCCATATGTAGAAAGCTGAAACTGGATCCCTTCCTTACACCTTATACAAAAATCAATTCAAGATGGATTAAAGACTTAAACGTTAGACCTAAAACCATAAAAACCCTAGAAGAAAACCTAGGCATTACCATTCAGGACATAGGCATGGGCAAGGACTTCATGTCTAAAACACCAAAAGCAATGGCAACAAAAGCCAAAATTGACAACTGGGATCTAATTAAACTAAAGAGCTTCTGCACAGCAAAAGAAACTACCATCAGAGTGAACAGGCAACCTACAAAATGGGAGAAAATATTCGCAACCTACTCATCTGACAAAGGGCAGGTATCCAGAATCTACAATGAACTCAAACAAATTTACAAGAAAAAAACAAACAACTCCATCAAAAAGTGGGCGAAGGACATGAACAGACACTTCTCAAAAGAAGACATTTATGCAGCCAACAGACACATGAAAAAATGCTCACCATCACTGGCCATCAGAGAAATGTAAATCAAAACCACAATGAGATACCATCTCACACCAGTTAGAATGGCAATCATTAAAAAGTCAGGAAACAACAGGTGCTGGAGAGGATGTGGAGAAATAGGAACGCTTTTACACTGTTGGTGGGACTGTAAACTAGTTCATCCCTTGTGGAAGTCAGTGTGGTGATTCCTCAGGGATCTAGAACTAGAAATACCATTTGACCCAGCCATCCCATTACTGGGTATATACCCAAAGGACTATAAATCATGCTGCTATAAAGACACATGCACACGTATGTTTATTGCAGCACTATTCACAATAGCAAAGACTTGGAACCAACCCAAATGTCCAACAATGATAGACTGGATTAAGAAAACGTAGCACATATACACCATGGAATACTACGCAGCCATAAAAATGATGAGTTCATGTCCTTTGTAGGGACGTGGATGAAACTGGAAATCATCATTCTCAGTAAACTATCACAAGAACAAAAAACCTAACACCGCATATTCTCACTCATAGGTGGGAATTGAACAATGAGAACACATGGACACATGAAGGGGAACATCACACTCTGGGGACTGTTGTGGGGTGAGGGGAGTGGGGAGGGATAGCTTTAGGAGATATACCTAATGCTAAATGACGAGTTAATGTGTGCAGCACACCAGCATGGCACATGTATACATATGTAACTAACCTGCACATTGTACAAATGTACCCTAAAACTTAGAAGTATAATAATAATAAAATAAAAAAACATAAAACTGCAAAGAATTCAGCAGGCTGAGGTGAATTTACAGACTATTTTATTTTGCTTTCTTTTGTTTATTTTTAGCTCTTCCAAACATTTCTTTAAATATAATTTGTATTATTTGAGATATGCATGCTGTTTCAGTAATTAACTCTACATACAAAGACCTTGTCACAAACAGTGATTAGAAATTTTTACTCAGAACTCCAAAGCAATATTTACAAAAGTTTCTTATCGTAGATCAGTGGGCCCCAAAAAAGGCATATGTAGGCTTCACCATGCATTTTACCTAATAGGTGGGAGGATTGGCTATATTTGTATACCTGGTGCATTTCAGCCAGTTTTAAGATTATGAATACTCTACATCTATGTCAGTAAACACATTTTCCTTAGTTTCTGAGAGTCTATTTATAATAGTCAGCTGATATAGTCATTGTCATCTTAATCTTAATGCTTTTCTCAATTGACAGATAACAATTATAACTTAAAAAAATTGTACATGTGGAATTGTAAATTTCTCTGGCTGTAAGAAGGTTTAGAATAAAATGATGAGTAATTCATAGTATAATATTTGCCATCACCTCACGGTTTGTGTTAGCAGTATCAGTACTTATGAAGAACTTGATTTCCAACTTTATATCATGCCTTAATAAAAACATAAGTAGTACCAAAAAAAAAAAAAAAACCCAATGTAAAAAAAATAGGCCAAAGACCTTACAGACATCTCACCAAAAAAGACATACAGACAGTAAGTATATAAAAAGATCCTTCACATAATATGTCATTAGGGAAATTGAAATTTTAAAAAACAATAAAATACCACAATACCACCAATTGGTGAAAATGTGAAGCAACAGAACTCTATTCATTGCTTGTGGGAATGCAAAATCATACAGACACTTAGGAAGACAGTTTGGTAGTCTTCTATAAAATTTAACACACTTTTACCATACTATTCAGTAATCGGCATTTATCCAAAGGAGTTGAAAACTTATGTCTACACAAAAATGTGCATACAGATGTTTATAGTAGCCTTATTCATAACTGCCCAAAGTTGGAAGTAATCAACATGTGTTTCAGTGTATAAATGAATAAACCATGGCGCATCTAGACAATGGACTATTATTCCATACTAAAAAGAAATGAGCTATCAGGTCATCAATATACATGGAGGAAACTTAAATGCATATTACTAAGTAAAAGAAAGCAATGTGAAAAGGCTACTTACTATATGATTCCAACTATACAAGATTCTGGAAAAGGCAAAACTATGGAGAGAGTAAATAGATCAGTGGTTGCCATTGACTGGGAGTAAGGAACGATGAAAATATGGGGCACAGCGGATTTTTCGGGCAGTGAAAATACTCCGTATGGTAATACAATGGCAGATACATGCCAGTATACATCTGCCCAAACCCATAAAATGTACAATACCAGGAGGGAACCCCCAATGTAAACTATAGACTTTTCAGTGATAATGATGTGTCAGTGTAGGTTCATCAATTGTAATAAATATACCACTCTGGTGGGAGACATTGATAGTGAAGAAGGCTATGCATGTGTGAAGGTATATGAGAAATCTCCATACCTTTCATTCAACTTTACTGTAAACTTAAAACTGCTCTAAAACTACAGTTTATTTTTAAAAAGCTACAAATGTAAGAAAATATGTGTATTTTTACAATCTTGCAATAGTGAAGTCTTTCTAAGTAAGACCTTTATAAAATCTAAGAGTCACAAAAGAAAATTGTGATGTATTTGACTGCACTAAAATTAAAAATTTTGCTAGGAAAAAAAATCACCATAAATTCAACAGGCAAATGATCAAGGTGAGCAAGGATATACACCACATAGGACAAAGGTTGACTTCCTTAATACATTAAAAGGTCCTACCCTACATATCATTAATAAAAAGACTAACAATCCCATGAAAATTTGACAAAATTCATAAATAGGGAGCTCATTTTTAAAGTGGCTTATGAAAATATGACAAAAGCACAAACTCATTCATACTTAAAGAAATGAAAATTAAAACAATCATAACACATTTGTCACCTATTAGAATAGGAAAAAAAAAAAACCTGACAGCAGTGTTTGCAGCAGTATAACAATACAGGCATTCAAATATTTTCCAGTACATATAAACTGTGAAATCTCTTTGACAACTTAAAATCTACCCAAATTTAAAATAAAAATGTACTTCCACTTCCAGGAATTTGTCCTCAAGAGATAGTGGCACCTCTCTGCAAATATATACAAGTATTTGATCATTTCAGCATTGTTTCTAATGAAAAGACTATAAACCTAAATACTCATCAAGAACTAATTACATTCATACTATCTAGTCATGAAAAAAAATAAAGTGATGTACAGTGATCTGGAATGAACTCCTACATACTGTTAAGTGGCAAAGCAAAATTATATAACAATGTATATGTATGCTTCCTTTTTTTGAGTTCTTGCTGTACTATATGCTTCCATCTTTTTAAAGGAGGTGAATTATATGTTAGGTTTAATCACATGATATCGCCAAAAATTACCAATTACATGATTCTGTCTATATGATGACACTTTTACAGGCATAGACTGTTTCTAGAAAGATAAGCACATGCTAGTTAATGTTGGTAGCTCCTAGGGAAGAAAATTGGAAGTCTGAGATGAGAGGGCTACTTTATACTCTTTTGTACTACTTTAACTGTTTACCACATGCATATATTTTTTTCCAACAAAAATACTAAAGTAACTTTAATATGTAAACAGATAAGCAGGAAAGGACAACTTTCCTCTCTAAGTTGCTGAAATTTTTCTTTGCTCTCCACTCAGATGGAAATTATATTAGGAATGTTCTACATCTGATAGCTATATGAAGAAGGGTGAAATTCTGAAGTTTTAGGGTCATACTGGTGGTAAGTAGAGACATATGGTTAATGTGACTTCTAAACATATTTCCTATTTTCCTTTCTTAAGTAAGAAAGTTCACATTTGGAGATATATTCCCCAGTCTGAAATTTAAGTCCCTATCTCCCAAGAGTGAACATGAAAGTGTTCTACTTAAAAGTAAAACATCAGTTAACTGGTAACCTGTGCCACCTCAAATTTTCAAAACTAAAATAAAATCCAGCTTCTTACCAATGAAATTCTACATGTCAGATTGAAAAGAACAAACCATTTTAAATTATACGGTAATCAAAATAAAACTTTTAAAAATATTTATTCCTGCTTTAATATCAGTTTTACTCTTAAGTAGAGCCCTGTGAATGAAAATATAGAAATTCTGAAAGGCCAATGTTTAGGTAAACAGCCAATGACAAGTACACTTTCTTCCTCTACAACTACAGTTCCTTCTCTCATCTTTTCATTTTATGAACTCCTCTAGAGCTTCTAATCTATATCACACAAATTAGTATTTCACTTGTGCTACCCCCTTCCTAGGTTCCATTACAGTGTGAGAACTACTAACTTGTTTTTCCAATCGTATTTTAAAGTCACTGACCATATATTCAAGGAAAAAAGGAATGGTTCCATATAATCAACATTCTCTATTCAAAAACAGACTCCAAAAAAAAAAGTACTTGTGCTCACGCCTGTAATCCCAGCACTTTGGGAGGCCGAGGCGGGCGGATCACGAGGTCAGGAGATCGAAACCATCCAGGCTAACATGGTGAAACCCCGTCTCTACTAAAAATACAGAAAATTAGCCAGGCTTGGTGACGGCTGCCTGTAGTCCCAGCTACTTGGGAGGCTGAGGCAGGAGAATGGCGCAAACCCAGGAGGCAGAGCTTGCAGTGAGCCGAGATCGTGCCACTGCAGTCCAGCCTGGGTGACAGAGCAAGACTCCGTCTCAAAAAAAAAAAAAGTACTTGTAAGGAAAACATGTCACTTTCAAGAAATTCCTTGATCCCTCAAATCACCATATCTAAATAGTTTTAGTTATCAGCAACATGATGCAAAAAAAAAAAAAAAAAAAAAAACACCTAACCAAAAGGTTGTTAAGTCATATTCCTGACTTGTCCCCAGCAAACTCATGTTGAAGTTTGGTCACCAATATGGCAGTGTTGGGAAGTGGTGCCTTTAAGAGGTGATTAGGTCATTACAATGGATTAATGTCTTTCTCAAAAGACTGGGTTAGTTCTTGTGAAAGAAGGTTCTTACAAAGTGAGGTTAACTCTCTTGTTTTGCCTTTTTTGCATGTGTCTGGTTCCCCTTCTATGCTCCATCATGTTTTGACATAGCATGAGGCTATCACCAGAAGCTGCCAGATATTGCTGCCCAGTCTTGAACTTCTCAGCCTAGAGAACCTCTTTTCTTTATATAAATTACCCAGTCTCAGGCCTTCTGTTATGGCAACACAAAACAGACTAAGATTGGTTCTTAATTGGCTCTTTTACATATGTGAATAATTTAGGACTCAATCACAAATGGTTTTGGCTACTGCAATATCCTCATGTTAATACTTTAATAAAATAATGTTAACATATTACTGAAGATAAAGTTCCATCTGAGCCAACAACCACAATAATAATAATGATAACACCTAACATTCACTGAATTTTAACTATGTGCAGGTACTATTATAAATATTTTAGAGGTATCAATTTATTTAATCCTTATAAACACCCTAGAAGAATAACATCGCATTTTAAAGATGTTAAAAATGAAGCAAGTTAAGTAAATTGTTCAAGATTACATAGCAAGTAAGCAATAGGATTCAAACCTAAGAAGTCTGGCCTTGAGACCCACTGCTAACCATCACACCATACTGCTTCCCTCTGCCAAGCTAACAATAAGAGATCCCTTGATAGGATTCTGAAAATGCAATTTTTACTACCAATAAAATCTCTAAAAATAAAAAAAAACTAGCAAATTTAATTATTCCTTAGCTGAATGAAAAAAAAATCACACTATACTTCCTTAATATTTACAAACCAATGTTCACTGCAAAAAAATCTTGTAGAAAAAAAAAAGTTTTATACAAAACTTTACATGTAATACATGTATTTACCTGGCAAAAACTTCAAAGTTTGCAGCATCTGTCTTTCCTGTGAGAAATCCACCATTAAATGAGTCATGTTGTCACTGACCTTTGGTTTCAAAGAAAGGCGAAAGGCTGAAGCCATTGTGACTCTACGGTAAACACAAACATACTTTTTAAAATAAAGAAATAGGAAGTATCAAATCATATTTAATTTATAAAATGAAAAGACAAATTATATCACTAATAATTTCAGAGACTATAATAAAAGTTAAAAGTGAAATAGAAATTTAATCTTAGTCTTCAAAATTAACTAAATAAAAAACTACAAAATGTCTTTTTAAAGACATTTAAGACAACTGGTTAGCAACTTTCCTCCCAGCCAATTTTTATTAAATTGCATATATATGAATAACAACAAATATCCAATAAAAATAATCCTTACCAGACTCAACATTCATCTGAACCTCTGTACACTCAATCTTACTGACTTCCTGATGCCAGCCTTACTCCTTTTCATATGCCAGATAATGAACTTAAATTCATTTATATTCATTTGAATCACACCTTGATTCAAATATTCTCCCTAGTAATAAGAGCTATCCCATGTACCCTCAAATAAGAGTAGAGGTAGATTGACCTAATATTGTATAGTTTGGTAGTTGCTAAAGATAGGCCATGGATAAGAAAAGAGAGAAGTGAAATCACTATCAATGAATACCACACTAGGTGTCACTCTGATCTATCAACATCAGCTATAGGGAAGCCTACTGTAAGAAACAGCCCTGTGAAAAAGTATATGCCATGGAAGTAACAGGAATTCAATAAACATTTACTAGATGAATGTGGAGGGAAAAACAAAAAAAGAATGAAGCCACTTTATCCAAAGTACAGAGAATCTGTAGTCCATTAAAACTGAAGATTAAAAGAAATCCTCTTATTCTATTAATTTTTAATTTTATCTCAAATTTCAATTTTTCATATTCCAATAAATTTCCACAAGTATCACAAAGTAAGCCCCTTACTATCTTTGGTTCAAGAATGATCAGAAGTACTACAGGTGAACACTGTCCTCCTAGTACACAATTTGGAAGGGGAAGGAAACAGAGCTGGTGGGACAAGGGGAATACTAGGCCTAGTCAATTGTATCTGCCAAATCAATTGGATCTGCCAAATCTACCCAAGAAGTCAATGAAATGAAAGATGTCAAACTTGCTATATTCACTTATTTTAGGATGAAAAATGTCAAGCTATTTCTGTATTTAGTTATTTTACTTCATTTTAAAACTAGTAATAATTTAATAGTAACAATGAGTAAACAACAGTTGATGTGTTTATCAAGAAGAAAGTGCTATACTGAAATATAATTTACAGCAAAGGGAATTCACACTGACTGCTTACTATATGCCAAGTATAATGCTGAGTATTTCATGCATACTACACTAACCCGTCTCTCAAATAATACAATTTCAATAAAAAGGAACAAATACTAAGTCCTACATATGTTATTCTTTACAGCCCCAAGTATCTTTTGATTCGAGGACATCTGAAAGAGCTATAGTCAGATACGTACTTACTAAATGCTCACTGAATCAGTGCATAGGTTAGAACCTACTTGGTTTATTCAAAACCTGACTAGATATTTAAATGTTTACTGAGAAATGTTGAGAAAAAAAATCCGAAAGTATTTTAGAGAATTTTAAACCTTAAACCTGTAAGATTTGATTCAATCACCATGACATCAAAGAAAAAGAATATGCCCCATAAATGCATTAGAAAGGCTTATCAAAGCTTTAAAAAAAACAAGAACAACTCTTATTTTTTAGTCAATGAAAACTTAAGTTTCCATGAATCAATTTAGATGGGCAACAATGCTACAATCTTTCAGAAGACTGAACTTTAATTTTTAACTTCATGTATTTAGACATGTGCCTCAAAGCCCAAACTAAACATCTAAAATTCATTAGATAATTCTCTACACTACAGGATCCAGAAGGCTAGGTATGCTTTAATTCCCCTTGATTTTCTTAGTTCATTTCTACCAGCACAAGGTAAATTCAAGGATCCTTCGCTCCTGATTTTTGCAAAGAGAAAATAACTACAAAACATAGTTTTCATTTCCTCAAACTACCTAATTAACTTGACTCTTTCATAACCCCTCTCTTTCAAGAACCAATAACTCCTGCAATATACCTCAACTAATCATATTCCAATATTATTAAGTCCCCAGAAGTACATGCCAGTAATTCTATAAAGTTATAGAGATGTGCTATTATCTTATTTCTATCTTGAGTTTTCTCTCTTAATCCTGCTGTTCCTCTGTGTAACTTCTACCATAGCAAATGATAAATGATGAGTTTTCACAGACATTTTCATTTTTTATATTTGATTTCTTGCTCAGATATGTTACACATTCTCCCTTAAAATCCATCTATGCCCTTATAAAAAGATAATCCTAGGGCGGACATGGTGGCTCATATCTGTAACCCCAGCACTTCGGAAGGCTGACGCGAGAGGACAGCTTGAGCCCAGGAGTTTGAGACCAGCCTAGGCAACATGGCGAAACCCCATCTCTACAAAAGATACAAAAAAATTAACGGGGCATGGTGGCACGTGCCTGCAGTCCCAGCTGCTCAGGCGGCAGAGGTGGAAGGGCCCCTTAAGCCAGGGAGGTCCAGGCTGCAGTAAGCTGTGATTGTGCCACTGCACTCCAGCCTGGGTGATGGAGCAAGACCCTGACCCAAAAAAAAAAAAAATCCTTTCTTTGCTTGGTGAAAATAGCTACAGTAATTATTTTATTATGACTACGTTTAAATTATTTTTATATTTTAAATGACAATAATGGAATTCTAAAAGCTCACTTTTGGCGAGTACCAAAAACTACATCAGAGAAACCTGAACATTATAAAGCTAAACATCAAATTTTAAAAATTAAGTTGAAGGGCCGGGCACAGTGGCTCACACCTGTAATCCCAGCACTTTGGGAGGCCGAAGTGGGCAGATCACTTGAGGTCAGGGGTTCGAGACGAGCCTGGCCAACATGGTGAAACCCCATCTCTACAAAACACACACACACACAAATTAGCTGGGTGTGGTGGCAGGTGCCTGTAATCCCAGCTACTTGGGAGGCTGAGGCAGGAGAATCGCTTGAACCCGGGAGGCAGAGGCTGCAGTGAGCCAAGATTGCACCACTGCACTCCAGCCTGGGCAACTGAGCAAGACTCTGTCTCAAAAAAAAAAAAATTAAGTTGAGAATCAGAAATGTTCCTCGGGCAGGAAGTAAAAATTCTGCAGGGGATCACAAAAATGCTATAGGGTTTGAACAAGCAAAAAAAAAAAAAAAAAAAAAGAACCACACACACACACACACACACACACACACACACACACAGAGTTTGCCTGAACCCTAATTCCTGAGATCACCTGGATACTTATGAAATCAAGCCAAGAGGCTGGCTTAGAAGACGCAAAAAACCCAAGCTTCAGTGAAGAATACAGCCATTGAAATTGGTCATGAAATTAAATTCTGATAAACAAATCTGGGCAAAGACAAAGAGTTTAAGGATACAGACAAGATTCTGTGATGCAAAGAGCCATATAGAATCTTGAAAAAAGGACAGATTTTGCAAGGTCATGATTAGGAAGTAACTTCTAATTCAGAAAATTAGGAACTAGAGCAGGATGCAGTGGGATAGGTAGCTAAACAGTAAGTATAATATACCCAGGGAGGAAGATGGATGACTCATAGCAATTTCCAGACACAACCCAAATCTACCTTATCCACAAAACTGACCTATCTAGCATCCATTCCTCACACAGCTAATATTTTTCACCTTCAAACTTTCACAATCATCTTTCTAGATCCAGGATTTATAAGAATGATCCATGTCTTTAGCTACTGCCTGATGTAAAATATACAAAAAATATAAAAATTAATACAGGACCAGGCACAATGGCTCACACCTGTAATCCCAGCACTTTGGGAGGCCAAGTTGGGCGGATAGCTTGAGCTTAGGCATTCCAGACCAGCCTGGGCAAAATAGCAAGACCCTGTTTCTACAAAAAATACAAAAATTAGCTGGGTGTGGTGGCACATGCCTGTAGTCCCACCTATTCAGGAGGATGAGGTGGAGGATCACTTGAGCCCATGAGGCAGAGGTTGCAGTGTGACAAGATCGCACCACTGCACTCCAGCCTGGGTGCTAGAGCAAGACTCTGCCTCAAAAAAAAAAAAAAAAGAGAAACCCAGAAGTAAAACTGTCAGCCAAGATTAACAATAGAGGCACTGTTTTTCACATAATCTATAATGAAAATTTTTGTGAATTATCTGATGAAGAATAATTTAATCTAGGATTTGGAGTGGCACTTTGAAGAGCTGTGCCTTTCAGAGAATCTCATGACCCTCAGATGAAAAAACTTGCTATAATCTCAATACAGACAATACTCAGTGACTAGACAGGCAGATCCAAACTGTTCCTTCTGTGTTAATGCAATCCAAATGTTGCCAGCAACTCCTTTAGCAATCTATGTTCATTACAAGTACTAAATTCCTTTTCTTAAGCCTGGCTCTACCAATAAGAAAGAACTTTTAAACCAAAACCTTTAATAATTTTCTTTAATTTTCTCTTCCCACAGAATATTAACTAGATAGTGGTGGCATTAGAAATAGAAAGAGATGGCACCAGGAACAGGATGGAATGAGAATACAAGGTGTTAAACAGGAGGGCAGTGAAATAGGAGCGCTTTAGTTCTTGAGGACTACTTAAAATGAGTGAGTTCAAAGAAAATAAGACCCACTTACATTTAAATTTAACAACAAAAAACACATTCCAGAAATATATATTTTTAAGTTATTCAAAATAGTTCCCTTTTCATTAGTACAACTAATTAAGAACTGTTCTAAAACTAAAACTAACTATATTTCTACACCAGAAATGAAATTCTTCTGAAGCACATAATTATCCACAACTATGCTTTTAAAAAATTTTATTGATACAATGGTTATTCCAAGAAAATACACAGAGGACATTTTATTTTGTACTTGGTCATTGGGTACTTTTATCTTAACTAACACAATTTTAATTAAAAAACTATTTCTGAATTTCATTTCTGACTTCAATATTTATACTTAAGTAAAAATGTGTTTTATACCATACCTATCCTTGATCTGTCTGGCAGCCTTGGAGCCAATCAGGGAGAAGAGAAAGAAGGCAAGTTAGTGCTTTTCATGCAAGTTTCAATGGCAGTGACATGCAAGAAAAGTTAGGATATAAACCCTGCAACAGATTAGTTCATATTCACCAAAACACAAACTATAGAAAATTTATGTGTATAGTTCACATAAGCTTTCATGTGATGTTAGAATTATAGTAGAAAATCCAGACCCCACAAAAATCACCTTTTAGGAGGAAAATTTAACACTTCGAACAAATTCCAGGTGACTATAAATGTTTTATTCTTACCTTAAGATTATCAAAACACACCTCCACTTTCATTCAGTCTGATACTCATCAACTAGAGCAACCAATCTCCTTCATGGGACAACTTCCTTCATGGTTTTCTTGTACATGTCAAATTTACTCTCTAATTTTTCTTCAGAGATCTCTTTCACTACTTCATAATCGTTGTTCCAAGTTTTCTCTATATGCCTCTATAGGGCAAGGAATTCTCAGAGTTTGCCTGCTAACAAATACAACTAGGCTGCAATTCTATAAACCTTTACTCCAAAGAAAGTTGTAATGGCAGAAATTCAGACACAAAGAGACCAGAGAAATACTTCTAGCAATGGGGTCTTTCTCCATGATGATTTCATACATGCTACCAACTTAAACCTATATATAAGGTATCTCTTTTGTCTTTTTTTTTTATGCAAGCACAAGTTTAGAAAGGGAACTCAGCTATTTACTTGGGGCTGCATGGTCACACAAAATAATAAAAAACAAGTAAAAACTGTTGTCCCTTTTATATTTACATACAATATATCCAACAAAAGTTTTTTTCTCCACAGTAACCAGTACAGTTAACAATATATCAGACATAGACAAGGCTGTTTTGCTCAACACTGTATCCCCAGTGCCTAGCAAAAATGCTTAGGACATAGTAATACTTAATAATTATTAAACTTATTTGAATGTTAATTAGATATATGTAGCAATGCTTCTGTGGCCTCTCTTCTTCAGTTCTAACGTTGTTCCTATTCATTATTGGTCATTTTTATATCCACCCTAAAACATTCTGGTCTGAGGACTCTTTCTACTCAAAAACACAGAACTCAGATTTTTTCTTTTTGAGACAGAGTCTTGTTCTGTCGCCCAGGCTGGAGTGCAGTGGCACGATCTTGGCTCACTGCAAGCTCTGCCTCCCGGGTTCATGCCATTCTCCTGCCTCAGCCTCCCAAGTAGCTGGGACTACAGGGACCCGCCACCACGCCCGGCAAATTTTTTTGTATTTTTATTAGAGACGGGGTTTCACCATGTTAGACAAGACAGTCTTGATCTCCTGACCTCGTGATCCGCCTGCCTCAGCCTCCCAAAGTGCTGGGATTACAGGCATGAGCCAGCACACCCAGGCAACACAGAACTGAGATTTAAGAGATCAGCATATTATACAGTCTCAGCATTACTATTAATCAGTTGAGACCTTGTATATTAATCATTCTATTTCTTTTCTAAGGAATTTTGTTTCTTAATGTTTCCGAAAATCATTCCCACGTGCTACACAAACAAACAAATTCTGTGGAATCTGTATCTTAAGTCATGAAACTACTGTAGTACCAGAGATAGAAAATGTTTAAAAAGTTAATTTAATTGATTTTTTAATTACTATCATTAAAGCTGGAATTACAAAACAAAGATTTTAATGTAAGTGTTAAAGGAAGGAAAGAAAGGACTCTTCTCTGTACCTGATATGAAACAAGTACTACCAGGATTACTCTTTGCCTCTCCATTCCCTTATTTCTCCTAGGAAAATGATATGACTTATCTGATAATGGGTTTGAAAGGAGAAACTAGACTTTCTGCTTTTTCTCACAGCTTGCTTGCCCACAGATAACATATATTCTGTTCTTTCCCTCTGTACCATAACTTTCACTGAAAGAGGCTCCCCCTGCCCATCACCTGAGGCAGCCCCTGCTGATCATGCCTGGGTGAATTTGTCTGTCTAATTCTAGGTATTTAGTATTGGGAAACTTGCCCAATAACAAAAGCCATCTTTTCCAATATGCTTTTATCATTATTTGGCCTCTTATCAGTTTTTTTTTGTCTTATTTCCTAACTGGTTTCAAACTTAGAGAAATATTACCAATCACCCTTGCATAACCCAATGATATGAAGACGATTACCGTTTTTTAAACTGACCACAATGATTCAATTTTGTGTCAAGTGTTACTAAATTTAATAAGGTAAAAATTTTTAGTGTGTGTGTGCACATATGCATGCATGCAAAGCTTTTATGGTATCACTTCATGTACCATGCTGTTTGTGAAAAACCAGGAAAGGAATAAATGAAAAGCCAGATAATCTAGGAAAAACTGTTGTCCATGCATTTACATAGAATATACCCAGCTAGTAAAACTGAAAACTCCCATGGCTCCACTTTCATTTAGGTTCAAATTTTACTGCATATATATTGTATAAATGCAAGAGAGGTTTAAGAAGTTATTCTGAGCAATGATTAGAAGGCAGAGTTTCAAATTCTGAAGATATTTCTTTGAAAGGGCCCAATTTCAAGAAATGTCTTAAATTGGAAAATAATTTTTTTTTCTAGAATTCTCTCAAAACAGAAAGGTATCCAAAAGATACACAATACTATACAGCTTCTAAGTTTCTATTCCTCTATTTCAAGAACGGTGACTTTTGTCAATTACAAAATTGGCAGAAAGGATTTCAATAGAAGATCTAAAGAGTGATGTTGAGTAAAGTAATATAACTAAGCTTCTTGGAAGCTTTTCAATAATATACAGTACCATAACCTAAAAATAAATCTAAACATTCATTGCAGCTTCTTCATAACTCACTACATGGAATTATGTAGGCTCAAATAAATGTGTTGGCAACAGAGCAGTGGTAAATCTTGGAATCAGCTGGTACTAATTAAACAGATGTTTGACAAAATTCAGCATTACAATTCTACTTAAGGAAGTTTGGTCTCAGGTGACACTTCTATGACTGATTAAAGAAATGGAATTGTAAGATTTAGTTTAAAAACAATTAACTAAGAGATGGAGGGAGGCAATGAGGGAAGAGAGAGAGAGAGGGAGAAAGGAAGGCACCATCTCTGATATGAATGCAGAGAAACTGTAATACGAGTAAAGAAGAAGTAATCGCAAACCAATCTTCATAACTGCCAATTAAATTTAAAGACGTTAAACCAGATATTTTCCCAGTCACATAGAAAAAAGTTAACAGATCTTTTCCCAATCTCTTTTGTTCTTAATCTGTAATGGGTGAATATAGAAACTATTTTCTTCTGTGAATTTATCAAGCACTTTGAAGATAAAGTATCTTATTGTTTCTATCTTTTTTTAATATCATCATTTCTCTTTTTATAGAAAGGGAGAGGGAAAAAGAGCCTCAAAGCCTTATTTTCCTTTAGGCAAAAATATGTCTTTGGAAAAAAAAAGATTGCACACCAGTTGATTCCATACATTAGAAGTTTTGTATTTGGTAGACATATATTTATCTGTTCATAAAAGGAACTATTTTTCAAAAAGCATGATCATTTGAAAGAATCTGTCACAAAAGCCCCAGTGAATAACTTGAAATACACTTTGAAATACAGTACTGTCCGCAACTGTTTTATGATTAGGCATATTTGTACAATAGGAGATTGCATTTCTGTAAGACATAAACACCAAGAAATGAAATTAAGGTGAAAACTACAATTTGACCTGTGCTTAACAAATATTTAGATCTGTTTTTTTATATTGTCCTCAAAACTGAAACATTCACGCTTTTGTTGAAGGTCCTCTCCTCTCTCCTAACATTCTTAACTTCAGCCTACAGAGGGAGCTTCTGGCAGTATTTCTGCTTACTTGATGAAAGTACTGAGTGAGCTTCTACCCACTCCTCTTCTTATTCACTCCTTCCAGTGGTCAGAGCCTAACACTCAATGGACAATATTCTACAGGCGAATCATTCATTACAAGTGAGATGTGGGAAATACACTAAACCCATTCTCCCTCTTCAGCTGTGATCAAATGCAGAAGACACTGTTCCCCTTTCACCCAACTGTACTTTTTATTCCATTATAGGGACCCCATGGATAGGAAACTATTTTCTCCCTTCTACTCTGACAACCGGAGCATGTGTGGCATGATTGTGATGGCAATTTAGTTACACTGACTTGGAAATTGTTCCACTGACCCAGCTCTTTCTATAGAGAGAAGTCAAGGTCTAAAGTCAGGGTGGGAATAGAAATACTAATTTTGGTAAAGGATCCAAGCAGTGTTCTGCAGGCCAGCTATTAGCAGAGAATGCACATTTGGTGGGATGTTGCCAATTTATTAAGTCCAGGAATAAAGCTAATGATCTGGATCCCATTTGCTGGTGATCCGTCTGCATAAATTTACTACCAACCAAACTTCTAGCAGTTAAAAAAAATTAGTGAAGGTATGTTCTAAAATCTTTTTGCATTTGTGCTATTTGTATTTGTTTACTTTCAGAAAGTAAAATGCCAGTAAATAGCATAACTTCACATTCAGTTCTCATGCTGAGACACTGCAATGTGATAATTTAAATATTAGAACTTGAAATATTCTTTTTGAAGATAATGAAGTATGAAAAGACACACTGCCTCAATTTTTAGCCTATGCTATTTTTTTGTCCTCATGGGCCATTCATATTAATCTCATTTAAGCACTTTAATGTGGGATATTCACAAATAGTATACCTTAAATGAATTTCTTTTTCCAGACATCTAACAATATACTGCTAGACTAGTAATAATCTCCAAAGTCATCTCTCCCTATTCAGTCAGCAAGTAGGTGTTTGAGGCAGGCCTGTAGTCCATGTAGCTGGCTAGGAAAGTGAACTTAGTTTTTTACTTGAAATCAAATTATTATCTGGATACTATTTGGACATATGAAGAAAATAATTGCAAGCAGCTCTCAGTTAAGCATTTTTCCTAAATGATAAACCCAGATTTCTGGCTAGGAAACACTGACAGATACAGTAATGTGCCACATAACTACGTTTCAGTCAATAATGGACTGCATATACAATGGTGCTCCCATAAAATTATAATACTGTATTTTTACTATACCCTTTCTATGTTGAGATACACAAATACCACTGTATTGCAATTGCCTACAGGATTCAGTACAGTAACATGCTACACAGGTTTGCAGCATAGAAGCAACAGACTATACAATACAACTGAGGTATGTAGTAGGCTATACTGTCTAGGTTTGTGCCATTACACTCTAATGTTCCCACAATGATGAAACTGCCTAATGATACATTTCTTAGAAGACATCCTCGTTAAGCGACACATGGTTGTAATTCATTTCACCACATCTCCAAATGGTTTAAGCTACTAAACAGTACTATAAACTGCTGCAAGACAAGACCCAAATAGTAAGAATAAGCGAAGTGGCATATTAAACCACAATGTGACTTATTTTATCAGAACCTTTCTAATTTATAATCTGTCAGGAACAAATTATAACAGAAACAAAGCTGGAAAGAATAAAGGACAGTGAAACAGAAAAGGGTAGCATTTGGGAGAAAGAAGACAGAAGAACTCTAAAAATGTCAATAGAAAGAGAAACGTGGGAGAAATAAACTTTTATCATAGTTTTTCCAAGTATCAGTCTCTCCTTAAATCAACTGGATTCAAGGCATTTTTGAGTATTAGTGTCCACATTCTATAGTTTTCCTGTCTTCTTCCTCACTCTTAGGCTGTCAGTTGGTAATTCTTGCTACTATGACTATGCCTGTCATTAACAACTGCCCTACTCCACTAAAAGGGGAATTTGTTAACAAGTAGAAAACAGAAAGAAAAATACTGAAAATAGTAGCAGTATCAAGTACAACAGTCAACAGATTCTGAGAAATGATCTTGAATAGAGGACATTAACTCTTGTCCATGAACTCTATGATGTTGATTTTGATGACTAAGACATCTTTTGCTTTCTGCATGTTTCTTAGCTATGTTCCAGACACTTAAGGTTATCACATGAATGCCCTCTAAATAAGTGATATAGTGCTTTTTTTGTTTTGTTTTGTTTGAGATAGGGTCTCGCTCTGTTGCCCAGGCTAGAGTGCAGCAGTGTAATCACAGCTCGGTGCAGCCTCAACTTCCTAGGCTCAGGCAATCCTCCCATCTCAGCCTTCGAGTAGCTGGGACTACAGGTGCACATCACCATGCCCGGCTAATTTTTTTGTGTATTTTGTACAGGCAGGATCTCATCATGTTGCCCAAGCTGGCCTCAAACTCCTGGGCTCAAGCAAACCACCCACCTTGGCTTCCCATAGTGCTGGGATTACAGGCATGAGCCACCATACCTGGCCAACATATCATACTTTTAAAGTACTTTTAAATATAGTACATTTCCCTTGTAATTCCTTTATATAATAAGTCCACCTATGTGCATTAGTAAGCTTCTTTACAACTCACCTCCAAATTTAAAGAATTAATTCATGCATTGGCTTACAGCAAAAGAACTTTTGTTTTGATTCATGTGTTTAAAAGAAGAAATCAATTAAAGTTCAATTTTAATATCCAAAGATGTAAGGTGGCAAATGTTACCTTCTCAAGGAAGTTTTTTCTACCTTCAAGTTCACAGAAAATCATAAAATGAAAACAATCACTAGGCATAAATCAGTTATAAAGCTACCTTTCTAACACAATGCAGCTCACTACATACTCCACAAAGGTGAAGTAAATAACATCAAACTCAAATTTTATCTTGATAACTACACAGTAATTTTTGCTAATTATATAGCTTAATTTCCAAATCTTTTCACATCATTTTAAAATATATTCTACATTTCTGAGTTTTGATTTGACAAAATGGTAATCATTTAAAATGACCCTACTTAAAAAAAAAATTACAATTTACAATTTACAATCACTTAAACACCAGGATCTAAGTTAAAACATTAGCAGGCTTCTTGCTCTACTTTTTACATTTTTATACTAAACATATCCCTTAAGTAAGGATCTACATTTCCATGTTGTAATAAAACATTCAGTTACTTAAATTAAGCAGTGGGGGCATTTATCTGCAATAAGAAGTTACACAATTACAGTGCTCATGTGCATAAAGTGATGATGCTTTCCCAAGCAGCTCATAGACAGAAACACAGAAACACTTTTTAAACATATTTGTTGATGACCCTAAAGACACACACTTCTAAGTGTTTGCTTTGGAATAAATGAACAGCCAGCATTTTACTTATCAAGAAACCCCAAGGCTTTATTAGTATTAGAAATCAGTAAAGAAATCCAAAACTAAAGAAAAACAAAAACGCCTTTTTAAAAATACAACTTCCCTTGTTAAGTGTATTAATGCAGTTTTTGTGTACCTTTGAAAATTCTTCAGGTTCCTTTATATCTAATGACCTTGTTGCAAATTCTAATAGTTCTTCAGAGTTCTCCAGGGCATTATTACATTGACTAATCTGACTCTAGGGAAAAAAAAAAAAAAACTAAGTCATTAAAATGAAGTTTCCTATTGCCATTAGAATCTTAAATATATATTGTTATAATGAACTTACAAATAATTTTAATAGCAATAATAGAGGAAAAACATTTCAGTGAGCTATTGTAGCAAGATAATCAAGTTATATATATATATATATATATAAAACGTGTTATTTTTTTTATATATATATAACAAATTTTAATTATCTTAATACTTTGTACCTCTTGCCATAATTTATCGAAAACAGCTTCACTGCATACAGGTAAAGATACACTCATCATTTAAAACAAAAAGGGACCTAAGCGAAGCTTAGTCCACTGTCATTAATTAAAAACTAGCAATTCAAGATACATAAAGAATATGGGACAAGTAGGAAGTATTTTTCTAAACCTAAATGGCAAGGTTCCTGCTCTAAAGATGAATGCTCGCAATTCAATTTTATCTAACAAACTGCAAGTTTTAAAAATGTTTCTATTGGCTGCTCCTAGCTCCCCTCTAACAATGCCAGAAGAACAAACTGTCCACATATATTCAAGCAGAAAGAAGGTCCCGACAAACAACAGATATCAATGAGGCACTAGGAACTGAGAGGTAACTGAAAAGGGAAAATATTACCAGTTGCACTGGAACATCACTCATGCCAGGGATGGCTAGGGGGTTGATCAAGATGCATAATGCACACTCAATATGCAAAAGACTTTTTGGTACTTGATGGGAAGAAGGAAAGGCAAGAGAAAAGACATGACCCATGGCCACTTTGGTGGCAGGTTTAATATGCAGTATGAGCTAGGGTGACAGAAATGTTGGCTAGTGGTAGATGAAGACAATTAGAGCTGCTCTGGTAAAGAAAAAGTACAGGGAGGGAAAAGGGAAGGTTGGAGATTAAGCAACTGGATGCTTAAAGGCCATTCCAAAGTGGTGCTGTGAAGAAGGGTCTGGGTCCAAAACAGAACAGAATTCTGCACAGGATGAGTTTTCAGTTGGATCTTCAGGTGATGCTGAGTTGTCCTTTCTTCTACAGTGTTTTGTTTTTTAAATGAATTCATTTCTTATTAGTATTTATTGAAATGTATGGAAACTTTATGAATAAACGAATTATCCTTGAATTATTTAAGTAATACATCCCCCACCCCCAAATATGAACAACAAACCTCAACCTGGGTAGTATGGACACACTTCGAAGATACAGTATCTGATCCTTGGAAATTGTGCTTTTATGGTGTGTATGTAAGATAGAAAGACAACATATGTGTTTTTCCACAGCTTTTAGGTGCTCAAAGATATCTATAACTCAAATCAACACACAAAAATTTGCATTTCTACATACCAATAATGAACAATCCAAGAAGGAAAAAAAAGAAAAAATCCACTTATAATAGTATCAAAAAGAACAGCATACTTTGAAATAAATTTAACCAACAAAGCATGAGACCTAGACACCCAAAACTACAATACAATGCTAAAAGAAATATACAACAAAAATAAAGGGAAAGACATTCATGTTCATAGATTGGAACACTTAATATTGTTAAACTATCCATACTACCCAAAGCAATCTATAAATTCAATGTAATCACTGTCAAAATCCCAAGACATTTTTTGTAGGAACAGAAAAAATATATATAAAATTCATGTAGAATCTCAAGGGACCCTGAATTGCACAATTTTGAAAGAGAAAAAAGTCGAATGCCTCAACATTCCTGATTTCAAAATACCTTACAAAACTATAGGAACCCAAACAATGTGGTACTGGCATAAAGACAGATACACAGACCAATGGAACAAAACAGACAGTCCTGAAATTACCCTTCACATATATGATCGAATGATCTCTGACATAGGTACTAAGGCCAAACAATAGGGACAGGACAGTCTCTTCAATAAATGGTGCTAGGAAAACCGAATATCCACAAGCAAAAAAATAAAGTAGGTCCCTTACTTAACACCATACGCAAAAATTAACTAAAAATGGATTAAAGACCTAAACATAAGCTCTAAAGCTCCTAGAAGAAAACATAGAGGAAAAGCTTCATAACACTGTATTTGTCAATGATTTCCTGGATATGACAATGAAAGCAAAAATAGACAAATTAGATGACGTAAAACTTTAAAACTTCTCTATATCAAATAGAACAACCAACAGAGTAAAAAAGTAGCCTACAAAATGGGAAAAAAAAAAAAAAACCTGTGAATCATACACCTGATAAGGAGTTAATATCCAGAATGAATAGAAAACTGCTGCAACTTAACAACCACCAAAAACCCCAAGTAACCCAATTAAAAGATGGCCAAAGAACCTGAATAGACACTTCTCTAAAGAAAATACATTGATGGCCAACAAACACGTGAAGAGATGCTCAACATCACCAGTCACTAGGGAAATGCAAATCAAAACTGTAATGAAATATCATGTCATACCCATTATGATGGCCACTATCAAAAAAAAAACCAGAAAATAAAAAGCACCGGCAAGCACATGAAGAAATTGGAACACTTCGGCTGGTAGGATGTAAAATAGTGCAGCCACTATGGAAAACATTATATAGAGGGTCCTCAGAAAATTATAAAGAGAATTACCACATGATTCAGCAATCCTACTTTGAAGTATACATATCCAAAACAATTGAAAACAGAATCTCAAAGAGATATTTAAACCCCCACATTCATTGCAGCATTATTCACAATAGCTAAGAGGTGTAAGCTGCCAAAATGTCCGTAGACATATAAATGGATAAAGAAAATGTGGTATATACATAAGTGGAATATTATTCAACCACAAAAAAGGAGGAAATCCTAGCACATGCTATATAACATGAATAAATCTTGAGGACATTATGCTGAGTGGAAATAGGTCACAAAAGGACAAATGCTATGATTCCACTTATATGAGACATGTAGAGTAGTCATGGAAACAGAAAATAACATGATGATTGCCAGGGGCTAGTAAGAAGGGGAAATAAGTTGTTGATCAAGGGACATAAAGTTTCACTTGCACAAGATGAAAAAATTCTAGAGATCTGTTATACAAAAATGTGAATATATTTAACACCATCAACTGTACACTGTACAGTTTAAAATGGTTTAAGAGAATTGGCTGGGCATGGTGCCTTACGCCTGTAATCCCAGCACTTTGGGAGGCCAAGACGGGTGGATCACCTGAGGTCAGGAGTTTGAGACCAGCCTGGCCAACATGGTGAAACCCCGTCTCTACTAAAAATACAAAAATTAGCCAGGCATGGTGGTGGGCACCTGTAATCCCAGCTACTTGGGAGGCTGAGGCAGGAGAATCGCCTGAACCTGGGAGGCAGAGGTTGCAATGAACCAAGATCACTCCAGCCTGGGTGACAGAGTGAGACTCCGTCTCAAAAAAAAAAAAAAATGGTTAAGAGAATAAATTGTTTTTTTAACAACAATTTTAGAATACTTATGGCCAAAACAAAAAACCATTCTTCTACGAGGTAAGGGTATAGTTATACTTAGAAATTCATTAATTTTTGCTTATCATAAATCAAGGATTAAATAGACTAAAATTATCCATATTTCAATAGCTGTATGATCTCACCTGTAACTCTTGGGATTTACGAGCTTGTTCCTGCTTGATACAGTTAATCATACTTTCTTTTACTTCATCCAGTATAGAGTATAAACTATCAAATTCTTCATCTAACTCTGAGAGTATGTTGGACGAATTTTCCTGTTTAAAAAACAAAACAAAACAATTTTACTGAAGCGCTATCAAACATTTAAAACCTAAAAGGTATGCCCAAAAGAGAGAATAAATTTATATTACAAACTATGTTGGCCTAATATAAAAATAACATAATTCTAATATTTGACTTAAGGCTTTAAAAAGAGATAAATGCAACAAACTGCCCGCTAATGCTAACAATACTGTTTCAGCTATACTATCAGTTAAGTTGTCTTTTATGGACTAGCCCATACTCTCTTCACTTTACTGTTTCCACAGGACAACATGAAAGGTTGTTTTAACGTTCCCAACTTCGTCCAGACCTTCAGTCTCTCAGGCAGACTCTAAGCCAGTGGTTCTTAACCTCTGGTGCGTATCAGAATCACTGGTGAGGTATTCTTATAAAATATTCCAGAGATTTTAATTCAGTAATTCCGAGGAACACTTTGCACATACAGAAATGAGGCGGATTTTGTCTAAATTTTAAAATCTTTCAGGGTCTCTAAAACACTGCATTTGTGTAAGATAAACAGAAATTAAAAGACTAAGCAATTATTTATTGGATCCTAAGATATTTATCAAATATTAAATCATCTAATGACTAGAATTTGTAGTCAAATCCTGTATTTTATTAACTAAAATACAGATAAGTTACTTGCCCAAAGCCATACAATTAGTTACTAGTAACATGGTCAATAATGCATTTCAAGTCTCTTGAGTTCCCCATTGCTATATTTGCTGCTATTTCAACAAAAAATAACTTGAATTATTTGTAAAATCCCTAGATAAGCAATATCCACACTTGCAACAATTATGAGATAGAAGAAATTCTCTTAAGACATTTTTCAACTTGGATGAATCATTCAATTAAGAGAAGCGAACTGGCACTGACTAAGAGAACTAATATATACAATCTACTGTAATATTATATGTCCAAACTTTTGCTTATAATGTTTATAAAAACTAGATACCTCACAGGCACCTCATCAAAGGTGGTGGTAATTATTTTACTAGTCTATTTACAGTAGTAAGAACAACTATAGAAGTGGAATGTGCAGTCAGGAAGGGAAAAAACCTAACTCAAATCCCACATTAGCCACTCAGTAACAGCATGACCTTATACAAGGCACTTAAATTCCTAGACCTCAGTCTATTCATTCATAAAAAAGAAACAGACTATTTTCCTCTCAATCACCAGATGGCATCTTGTTGCCTTTTGCCTACTACTAAGCTCCCATCTTCAGCAACGAGGTTGTAGTTTAATTCCCCCACTACTTTTTTTTTCTAACGTTAAGGTAGAATTCTAATAATTTATCAATCAGAAGAATGGTTTGAGCTAGCTCTACATAAGATCTCTCTTTCCAGATACCAAATGTGATGATTCGCTTGTCCACAGATCAAGAGCTTTATAGCCATGAGTTTTATGCTTATCTAAAGAAAGCTGATTCACCAATTTTCCAATAAAATAGTTCAAGATAGCTAAAATAATTATTTTTTTTTTTTTTTGAGACAGAGTCTCACTCTATCACCCAGGCTGGAGTGCAGTAGTGCGATCTCGGCTCACTGCAACCTCCACCTCCTGGGTTCAAGCGATTCTCCTGCCTCAGCCTCCCAACTAGCTGGGATTACAGGCGCTTGCCACCACGACCAGCTAATTCTTGTATTTTTAGTAGAGATGGGGTTTCACAATGTTGGCCAGGCTGGTCTTGAACTCCTGACTTCAGGTGATCCACCTGACTCGGCCTCCCATGAATGTTGTTTTTGCTAAAGATAATTTTGGTTATTCTGGTTCTTTTGTAGTTCTATATACATTTTAGAATTTTTTCTATTTCTGTGGAAAATGACATTGGTATTTGGATAGAGATTACAATGAATCTGTAGATTACTTTGGGTAGTACAAATATTTTAACAATGTTAATTCTAATCCACAAACATGGGATATTTTTCCATTCATTTGTCTTCTTAAATTTCTTTCATCAGTGTTTTATAGCTTTCAGTATACAGATCTTTCATTTCCTTAGGTAAATTTATTCCTATTTTTTTATGCTACAGCAAATGGGATTGTTTTCTTATTTTCTCTTTGAAATAGTTCGTTTTTCATGTATAGAAGCAATACTGATTTTTGTGTGTTGATATTGCATTCTGTAACTTTACTGAATTTATCAGTTCTAACAGTTTTTTGGTAGAGTCTTTAGAGTCTTCTAAAGACTGAGGCAGGAGAATCGCTTGAACCTGGAAAGCAGGAGTTTCAGTGAGCTGAGACTGCGGCATTGCACTCCATCCTGGGTGACAGAACAAGTCTTTGTCTCAAAAAAAAAAAAAAGTGGTGAGAGTAAACATCTTTGTCTTGTTCCTGACTTTACAGAAAAAGCTTTTGACTTCTCACCTTTGATAAGATGGTAGCTGTGAGATTGTTATTATACATATGGCCTTTACTGTGTTGTGGTACATTCCTTCTACACCTAATTTGTTGAGAGTCTTTATCATGAAAGGATGTTGAATTCTGTCAAATTCTTTTTCTGCATCTACTAAGATAACCATACACTTTTTTTTGTCTTTAGTTTTGTTAATATGGTGTATCACATTTATTGACTTCTGTTGAACCATCCTTGCATCCCAGGCATAAATCCTACTGGATCATGGTAAATGATCTTTTTAATGTGCTACTGAATTCAGTTTGCTAGTATTTTATTGAGGATTTTTGCATCTATGTTGATTAGGAATACTGGCCTGTATTTCTCTCTTTTGTAGTATCCCTGGTTTGGCTTTATTATTGGGATAATGTTGAATTTGTAAAAATGGATTTGGAACTACTCCCTCCTGTTTGATTTTTTTGGAAGAGGCTGAGAATAACTGATATTAGTTCTTTAAATATTTGCTAGATTTCAGTGGTAAAACCATCAGGTTGCAGGCTTTTCTTTGATGGGAGACTTCACTGTGGATTCAATTTCCTTATTCATTATTGACCTATTCAGATTTTCTATTTCTTTCTGATTCAGTCTTGGTAGATTGTACATTTCTAGCAACCAGATTATCTTGAGTTCTCTCTTCCACAATCAATATGTCACTACTTACAATATAGATTATCTCCCCAAACCTGGAACTATTTTCTTAAGTATTCCTCTCCCTTCTCAATGGGCACTTTACCTTTTATTTTTATGTTACTTTCATCTACTTCTACAAGTAGACCCCTTACCAATAACATTTTCTTTTCTTTTTGAGATGCAGTCTCGTTCTATTACCCAGGCTGGAGTGCAGTGGTACAATCAATGCTCACTGCAGCCTCGACGTCCTGGGCTCAGACGATCCTCCTACCTCAGCCTCCTGGGTAGCTGGGATGACATGTGTATGCCACCACACCCAGCTAATTTTTGTATCTTTTTTTTTTTTGGTAGAGACGGTGTCTTGCCATGTTGCCCAAGCTGGTTTCAAACTCCTGGGCTCAACCCATCAACCTGCATCAGCCTCCCAAAATGCTGGGATTACAGGCATGAGCCATCACACGTAGCCAAAATTTTTCTTCTATTGTTTATTGTAAAAGAAACGTTTTACTTGCCAGCACTTTTGAAAAACTACAAATTGCTCTTAATTTATATTAGAAAAAATGTCAAATGGAAAAGGACTAAAGTGAGCACTCTGGTATTTTCTAACAACTACTATTCCAGAGTTTTCCTTTTCCCTTACTATTTGGATTTTTCCATGGACAAAACAGGAATTGCAATGAAAACATTTTTACTTTATCTGCTATTTTAAAGCTCTGCTCTCACCTCCATTAGTTTATAACCCAAAATTCATAGAGTATATTTGTACTTCAGATTTGGCTCATTGTGACATATTTACACAAAATTTTTCATAAAACAATCATACCTGAACTCCTTTTAGTGTATGATGTAGTGTATCAATAAAGTTCTGAATTTCATCATTTTTATTTGCCAGAGTTGAAATGATCCTCTGTAGAGCTTCCTAGAATTAAGAAAAGCATTAAAATACTATATTTCAATGGAAGAGTTACAAAACTCATTAACAAGCATTCTCTAAACAAACTTTATGTAAGAGTATATTGTATAACAAATAGGAGCAATGTAAAATTTCTCATTCTTCAAAACTTCCAAAGGCTTATAATTAGAAAAGATGGGGTATATATTTGTACTGTATTAAGCCCTCTTATTCCTAATATGCAACTTAATCACCATGATACTTTTCAGATTGAAAATGATCAGTTTAACTTAATATCAATAGAATTATTTTAGGTCATCAGCCATGACAATGGAATAGAGCAAAATCTTTAAATGCTGTAAAAACAAATGGAAACGGAATACAACATCAGGAACCGAGGAATAAAAGTGAGGAGACACAAATTCATCAACATTTTATTTATTTACAAAAATAAACCTATTTTAGAGATATGAAACTAGATAATACATGTGCATTTAGAATGACAACATTCATTCCAATATTTACAGATGCTGTAGAACTATAATAAATAAAGCAATTTTAGTAGCAGATAGCTCAGACTTTGATAATGCTTCCTATTTAAATAAAACATTTGGTTAATTTTCTCTCTGGTTCGGTGCTATCCAATAAAATTTTCCACTGTGATGGAAATGTTCTATAAATGTGCTGCCCAATATGGTAGCCACTAGCCACACACAGTTAAAGAAGTCTTGAAATGTGACTAGAACTGAGGAACTAAATTTAATTTTTCCAACTTTAATTAAGTTTATATAGTCAAATGTAACCAATGCTATCATATTGGACAGCACAAGTCTAGTTGCAGTAACTCCTCATTGGTAGCAACAGCAAAAACCAAACAAGGTTATTTATAGTCTCAGAAAAAAATCAAATGCAAGTACTTTAATACTTTGTAATTTTCTCAGAAGCATAGGACTTTTTTCTGTAAGCACCTATGAGCTTAAATATTTTAATAAAGCCTATAAGACTTTGTGGAATAAAGGTTTTCCTAAAAAATATAATCAGATATCGACAAAGGGTTATAGATAAGGAGCCCAGGAAACAGTCTGAAGGGAGATAACATTTTTTTTTTAAGTTTTTTTTCTCGAGACAGAGTTTTTGGCTGTTGTCTCCCAGGTTGGAGTGCAATGGCGTGATCTCGGCTCACTGCAACCTCCACCTCCCGGGTTCAAGCAATTCTCCTGCCTCAGCCTCCCGAGTAGCTGGAATTACAGGTGTCCGCCACCACGCCCAGCTAATTTTTGCATTTTTAGTAGAGACGGGGCTTCACCATGTTGGCCAGGCTGGTCTCAAACTCTTGACCTCAGGAGATCCACCTGCCTCAACCTCCCAAAGTGCTGGGACTGCAGGTGTAAGCTACCATACCTGGCAACATTTTATACAAATGTTCATATAAAGTATTGTAGTAGTGAAAAAAGCATGTGCCACCACACATGTGCGCTATGGGAGGCCCAGGCAGGTGGATCACTTGAGGTCAGGAGTTTGAGACCAGCCTGGCCAACATGGTGAAACCCCGTCTCTACTAAAAATACAAAAATTAGCCAGGCGTGGTAGCATGCACCTGTAATCCCAGCTACTCAGGAGGCTGAGGCAGGAGAATCACTTGAACTGGGAGGTGGAGGCTGCAGTGAGCCGAGATCTCACCACTGCACTCCAGCCTGGGCAACAGAGCAAGATTCTGTCTCAAAAAAAAAAAAAAAAAAAAATGTCAGTCACAGTGGCTCATGCCTGTAATCCCAGCACTTTGGGATGCTGAGGCGGGTGGATCACCAGAGGTCAGAAGTTTGAAACCAGCCTGGCCAACATGGCGAAACCCTGTCTCTACTAAAAAGACAAAAATTAGGCAGGCGTGGTGATGGGCGCCTGTAATCCCAGCTCAGCTATTCGGGAGGCTGAGTCAAGAAAATTGCTTGAACCCGGGAGGTGGAGGTTGCAGTGAGCCGAGATCACACCACTACATTCCAGCCTGGGTGACAGAGCAAGATTCCATCTCAAAAAAAAAAAAAACAAAACTTAAAAAAACTTTCCACCAAAAAAAATTATAAAACATTGGTACCAAAAAAAAGGCAGATACAGTTCAGAGCAAAAAATAAAATCTCCTTAGCATAAAATAGCTTCCCATTTACATATTTTTTTGGTCTAAGTTTAGTAGCAAGCTTTGCATTTCAGAAATTACATAGCAAAAATCTGGAGATAGCTGTAACTTATTGCCCCAACTAGATAAGACCTGAGCTCCCAAGATTTTAATGAGAAGCCTTTTTTTTTTTTTTGAGGCTCTGTCACACAGGTGGGAGTGCAGTGACACAATCGTAGCTCACTGCAGCCTCAACCTCTTGGGCTCAAGCCATATCCACCTGCCTCATTATTTGATTTTTTGTAGAGACGAGGTCTCACTATGTTGCCCAGGCTGGTCTCGAACTTCTGGGCTCCAGCAATCCTCCCACCTCAGCTTCCCAAAGTGTTGGGATTACAGGCATGATCCCTGCTCCCAGCTAAAGCCTACCTTTTTAATGTTCCTGTTTTTTAATGAGTATAGTCAAAGACATCTAAATGCTCTAATTTTGAATCAGATCTTCAAGTTAAAACCTCTGCTCCTTTAAGAGCTACCAACCTGCTGCAAGTTAATAGACTCTGGTCCAATAGTGATGTTAGAGATCAGAAAACAGGCTTTATCAACTGTAACGTTTTCATTCTCCTTAAAGCAGTACTGTCCAATATAAATACAGTAGGAGCCAATAGCAGCCACATCAAAAAAGTAAAGGAAAAACAGGATAAATTAATTTTAATATTTTATTTAATAGATTCAAAATATATTATCATTTCAACATGTAGTCAATATTTAACAATTAATGAGTTTTTCTTTTTTTTTGGTACGGAGTGTTCAAAATTCAGTTTGTATTTTACACTTATGCATATCTCAATTCAAACTGGCCACATTTCAAGTGCTCAAAAACCACATTACGGCTAGAAGCTACCATCCTGGATAATACAGACTTAAGAGGTCTATGTCATCCAAACAGACCATATATTTCTAAGAGTGGAAATAGGGCAGAGATCCTCTATTAATCTTATTAATTTGCAATTAAAAATAAACGACCTAAAAGCTTTCTGAACTTTTTTCTTGGAAGACCAGAATTTCTTTATGTGCTTATGTTATGCCAGATTCTTGAATTATAATAGCTATATGTGGATATAAGTTAAAATGTTACAACCAACTTCCTTTACCAGAATTTCACTCATTTCTCAGTTTTTATTTACATAAATATTAACTCTAGAAGGTGAAAGACATTTTAAAATTACCAACTCTCAAAAGAAATTGGTACATAAGTAACACCACTTCGGGGTCCAATACCATAACAGAAGAAACAAATACACTCCTCTCTCCTGTGAAATTTACACCGTTCACTCATGTTTTGGGTTAGAGAAGACTTCTTGGGATCACAGAAAGTGCAAATGTCCACGTCAAAGTTGGCAGCTAACAAAAACAAGACTGCACCTAAGGACAACTGACATACAGGTTAGACAAATTCAAAGAATCATCAGAATAATGCCTTCCATTTTCTATGATACTATCGCATACCTCCAAAAAAATACCACCCTTAGATTACAGTCAATCTTTTTTTTTTTTTTTTTTTGAGATGGAGTCTCACTCTGTCACCCAGGCTAGAGTGCAGTGGTGCAATCTCGGCTCACTGCAACCTCTGCCTCCTGGGTTCAAGCAATTCTCCTGCCTCAGCCTCTCGAGTAGCTGGGATTACAGGTGCAAGCTACCGTGCCTGGCTAATTTTTTGTATTTTTTGGTAGAGATGGGGTTTCACCATGCTGGCCAGGCTGGTCTCGAACTCCTGACCTTGTGATTCACCCACTTCGGCTTCCCAAGTGCAAGGATTACAGGGATGAGCCACCACTCCCAGCGATTACAGTTAATCTTATCTTTACCATTCCTCTTAAATTCATTCAAAATTCTATTACCACAGATGAAAGACCCTTTTCAACTGTATTGGCCTAAGATGTATTAATAGCCATACTTCTGGAAAGAAACTCTACAATCTGTGTTAAAGCCTTTAGGGGAATGATATCCTATATGAATTGCCTAAGGCTGTAAAAATACTGTACTTCCCCAGAAAGTGGATGAGAAAGAAAGGTCTTTAAAGGCTGATATAGTATTTCTGAGAAACACAGTCTCATTCTTTGAAGAGAGAGCACTCTACAGCTCTTGAATTTAACAAGGAGTTCCAGTACAGCATGAGAGTCTGTAATACACACCTAGATAAAGGGTCCACATTCTGAGAAAAGTTGCTTTACCCTAATGCCAAAACTGCAAAGACTAAAGGCCTAGATTATTTTCAGAGGACGCACTGCAATCTTTAGATGAGGAGGGCTTCAGAGCCTTGGCTACAATACACCACTGAGATGCTATCAGAATGGACAAGCCAGCTGTAGAGGACTCTGGAACCCCAGCATTTAAGATCATCTATATTTTCAAAGCTACCGAATACATTAGTAAACCTGGCTGCAGAAAAAGCAACCATTCAGATCATAAAGAGAAAGTCATAGCAACCAATGTGACCTTGTTAGCTAATACAGATAAAATGCTGCCTCTCTGCTAAGCTTTTCTAAGCTTAAAGGAGGAAGGAAATATTCGCAAAGTTCCCCAAGGGCAGACTACTGAGACAAAGGCTCCAGAAGCTCTGATCCACTTGCCCTTTAATCTGCAACTGCTGTAGAGAGGATGAGCAAATGAAAAAGACTGTAATCCAAGGCTCATATTTAGCATTCTAAAATAGTAAGTTTATCAGGGAGAGGGCCAAGGCTTCAACCTTTCTGACCCTCACAAGAATGGGGACTGGCTGGAACTAAGTGGAAATGGCATAAAGATAAAAAGCACTAAGGAACTTGGTGCTCAGTAGAACTGGAAAACAAGTTACAAGGAATCAGAATATTTAAGACAAAACTACCACCACAGCACCAAAACATATGAAAACTAAAGAAACAGGATTACATGTGCTGAGTTCTGAAACTTGACCCTAGCTTGCATATGTGACATAAAGCTAAAATTTTCTCTATGGTGGTAGGAGTCAAGTAAAAGGTGTATATAAGGATAGTATGTGCCTAATCTAGGAGGTATACAAGGGGAGACTGGCTGAACAGGCATCAAATCCAGCAGTTTTTAAAAAGTGTTTTCTAGATATGGTAGGCAATATGCCAGGGCAGAGAAAGAGAGCAGAAAAGATCTAAAATATATCATAATTCAACGAGTTTTCTACCCCAGTCTATCCCTCCAGGACCTCCAAATTTAATCAAGAGCGAAGACAGAAAGCTAGGCCATCATCACTATCTCCTCTCCTCTAATTTGTGCTCTACGTGAAGTCACAAAGTTCTATAGATTTTACCCCTTAATGGTTCTAGTGATAGCAGCAGGAGGCAGACGTAGTCCTAGGCAGATAGGGGTGGGTCCCTGGTGAAACCTGACCTTCAGGCCAAAGACAGTCTGAAGCCTGAAAACTGGGCTGCCAGTTCCTGATGGAATCCACAACCCTGAATAAGAATTTCCTTTATGCCTTTCAGTCAAACAAATGGTGCTTTTTCCACGCCCACCCATGGACCAATCAGCACATACTTCCTCCTGCCCATGGACCAATCAGCATGCACTTCCCCACTTTGAGCCCATAAAAACCCTGGACTCAGCCATCTATCAGGACTACCCATTTCAGGACTCCTCTCCACTGAGAGCTGTTCTGTCACTCAGTAAAACTCTCCACTGCCTTGCTCACCATCCAGTTGTCCATGCAACCTCATTCTTCCTGGACGCAGGACAAGAACTCAGGAACCGCCAAAAGGCAGGCGCAGAAAGGGCTGTAACACTTTCCTGGCCCACTTGCCAAGCTGCAGACAGGAGCAAAAGGGGCTGTAACATGTTCCTGGCCAGCTCACCAAGCTGCAGACAGTGACATGAACTGCAGGAGTGAAGAGTAGCAACACTTCTAAGGGCCTAGACCTCGGGATTCCCTGAGCCAGAGCTGTAACACTATAGCCCTCCCAACTTCCACCAGCATCAGGCGGCTGCCCCACATGACAGCAAGTGACAACGGGATTGGGCCAGCCTGGGAGCCACGGGCCCAAGCAAGGTGGCAGGACTGAACAGGCTGAAACATGCCCTGCCACTCCCACTGGCCAAGCTGCAGGTGGCAGGAACAAGAGAGGTGTAGCACCCCTGCCCCCGACCCCTTGGGGCTCTGCAGTTACTGGCATCTCTGAGTTTTCAGGCACCACTGTGTTCACTTCATCCAGACGCAGGCACCCACAGAGGAAGCCACTTGCAGTATGCTTGGTCCAGCTGCAGCCTCGCATGGAGCCAGTGACTGTGCCAGTGCCCGGAGCTGCCCGTATGGCCACAGCAGCCAGCATGCTAGGCTGTGCACAGTGGCCGGACCCCAAACTCACTCGCTCGCTCACACACCCCTCACTGCTCCATGCCTGGCTCGCCCTCGGCAGGTGTGGGATCCAGGCCAGCAGCATGAGCTAAGCACAGCCTGCCAGGCCAAGTGGGCAGAACAAGCCCAGCCGGCATGAGTGAAACTCAAGGAGAGACACTGCCAGCTACAGAGGTTTCTAGCTGGTTAAGAAACATCCAAAGTATCCTGTGACATTAGAATTATTACTACTATCTTAGTAAAAGTTACTATCATATCTCAACCTATATCTCAACCTTCACTGTAGCAAAATTTTTCTTAATCAGACTCTGGTAACAATCTTTCTCCCCAGTAATCAGTTCTCTATATACTTCAGCTAGGGTAATGATAGCATCACTCTTCCTGATCAGTATTCTTCAATAGCTTCCCATTGTACCTTGGATAAAACTGAAAATCTTTAACATGACCTATAAGATCTCAAATGATCTGTCCACTGCCTACCTCACCTGCTTCATCTCCCCAGACTTCCTCTCCCTTGTTACACTCCAGCTGCATAGCCTGCTATGAATTTATCTAATCTGACTTGCTTTCTACCTAGGAGCCCTCTCACTTATCAGTTTCTCTACCTATAACCTCTGTCCTAAAACATATACACAATGTACTGATAAAACAAATTCCAAAAATGTACTTATAGAATGAGCCCATGTTACATATAGTCATTTCATTTTTTTTTCTAATCAAAGCCTTATGGGTAAAGAAGGGCAAAGACAACTTTCATCTGCCCCATGGGATTCTATCAACCTTAAAGGATGCCTACGAAGGTCTCAGATTTTTATATCAGATCTCAAGCCTCCCGTTACCTTACAAACACTGATGGATAAATAGATAAACAGAGATGAATAAAGGCAATATAAATTATCTGAAGCTTATCTAGAAAATTATATTTTATAAGATTCATGTGGTGACAACTAAAAGTTCTAGGTGACACAGGTCTGAAGACATGTTTTGACAAATGCCAATTCTGCTAGATCATAGTAAAATATATGAGATAAGTCTCCATAGGAAGTCTGCACAGGCAATCTCAGCAAATGTCTTTTGGTGATGTAGCACAATTACCAGGCCCTCATAACAACAACAAAAAAATACAATGATGTGACTATGGATTTAGACTAAGGCAACTGCTACACCAACAAGAAAAAGCATCATATACACCCTAGCCAAGCACAACTGCAACCACTGTTATGGAATGAATCAAAGTAATCTAAGATGTACAAGATATAAGTTACTCTCTTCAACGCAGCACAGCTTAAAGTTATGTTTATAATCATTATCAATCAAGTAAAAGGATAATCAATAGACTGAGCAAAAGAGCACTTTGGTACTCTTAAGTGCCAAGTACTATCTTAAGCTCTATACATATTATTAATTCATTTAATCCTTTCAAGAATCCTATGAAGTAAGTTACTATTATTATCCTCATTTTCCAATGAGGAAGCTGACGCATGGAGAAGTTAAGCAGCTTGCCTAGAATATCAAAGCTAATATGTCACACAGCCAGGATTCAAATTAAGACAGTTTGATTCCTAAGTCTATGCTCTTAAAGGACTACACTGTACTACCTAATAAAACAGAGATCAGAGGTTCATGAAAAGGTCAGAACGGCTAAAGGCATCCAAAGGACTAAGATTTTACTTCAAGATTAGAAATCTGGAACTGATCAACAATCTGGAAACCTGGAACTGATCAACAGGTTATAACCCCAAATCAGAGGGCATCAGCATCCATGTGGTCATAATTAGAGAAATGCTGACATATGGGTTTCCCACCAGCATCTTCTCAGAGGAGGAGAAGACTTCTGAGTCAAATTCTACAGTAGTATTCCAAAAAATCAAGATACAAAAATCTAGAGCCCCTGCAAATACCACAAATAGATCTATAATTTAAGGGGGTCAAACTATTATTATAGCCAATTTAGTTAGTATTTCATTAAGCACCTTCTATGTGCCAGGCACTGTGCTGCTAATATGGAGTAACTTTTTAATCATCAAATCTGATAAAAAAGTAGTATGAGTCTTCACATTTTATGGTTGGAAAAAGGAAAGATTCAAGATGTTAAGAAACTTGTTTTAGGTCACACAGCTATCAACTGGCAGTCATGATTCAAATTCAGGAGGTTGTCCCCAGAACCTCTGCTTTTCAAATCCAGGAGGTTGCCTCCAGAGCCTGTACCCTAGGCTGCCTAAACTGTTGGGGATTGTATGAAATAATCATAGGGTTCCTGCAACCAGAGGAAAGGGATTGATCAAATCAGCATGTAACATTCCTGGAAAATGCCCAATAATGCCACCAGAAATGATGCCACTTGCATCATCCCACACATAGACCTGTCCTTTGAATTAGGTGACTTCATGCTGAACCCCTCCATCGACTCCAGTGGGGATGGCACCAGGTTCAAGAGGCTGAAGAAACCCAGAGCCACCAAATGAGGCATGGTATTTTATTAAGGGATTACATACAAGGGAGAGAGTCCAGTGGTGGCAGGCTGAGCAGGAGAACTGCCTTATATACAGAAAAGGTCCAGTGGCAGTGGGCTGGACAAGGTAACTACACAGCCCAGTGAAGCTCAGAAGACACATTCAGGTGAGTCTGCCATACAGGATCATTCTAATAGTATGCTTAAACTACTGCTGTTAGGTAGGTTTACCATACAGTGATAAAGAGCGGAATCAAGAAAGCGCTATCCAGCTGTTAGCTAGATAATCAGAATCTCACCAGTTATTTTAACAAAAGTATCATGCTCAGATGTGATGCAAGAAGGTGAAAAAAAGAGAACTGGGAAATTCAGGAATCTAATCATAATATACCTAAATGATGGAAGGCTACACCCTCTCTAACAGTGAAACAGTTGAGAACACTACCTGTACACAGATGTAACTGAGACAGCCTACAATCAATTCTGATTGTCTAGCTTACCAGCTGAGAAAAAGTCTAAATGCTAGTAAAAGAACTGGCTGGGGAATGCTGCCTTTCTGCCCTGAACCCAGTTTAAGATATCACAGCATATGAGGAGGTAATCTCCCATCTAGGATTTGAGGAAAATAAAGCACACCAGAGGATAAAGAAGCCTTAACCATGTGCAGTGGCCTTTGAACTGGCTGTTTTACCCAGTAAAGTCAAGGAGGCTCATAGTCGGCCAAAGAAACCAGAGGTCCTACCATTTAATGAAAGAAGGTGGCATTGGAGTGGAGATGCGAGTATTAGTATAAACTAACAACCCTTCTCAAGGGCAACTTGACAATATGTATCAAATAAAATTTTTGAAATAGATATACATTGACTCAGTAATTCCATTTCTAATTTATTGTAAGTGAATAATTAAGGGTGTAAGCAGAGACTTGGCTACAAGGATGCTTATCTGTGATATTTATAACATTAAAAGGTTGGGATCAACAAAAAGATACAACAAAAGGGTACTGTAAAACATGCATACAAAAGAATTCTGTTGAATCATTAAAAGTATTGTAGAATGATTAATATGGAAAAATATCCATAATTTATTATGTGAAATGCAAATTATAGAGCAGCATATATAGCATGATACCATAATTTTAGAAAAGTTTTTATATGCATACCAAAAAACTAGATGGTGACATAAATGTTGAAGAGGTTATCTCTGGGTGGCAGAATTGAGTGGTTTTTATTTTATTTTCACTTTATTTATATTCTTATTTTCCTACAATAAACTTGTATTACCTATATTTATAATGCAATAGAAATGCAAAAGCTGGCTACGTTAATACTTTTTTAATAAATTAGTTCAAAATTCAATTAACAGCAATCAACAAGCATCAATAACTGAAACCAGATTCTATCAGAACCTTGTGGCTGGGAAGAAGTGCCAACAAAGAGTGAAAAACATATTTTTAAAAGTCTGGAGATAAAATCCACCAACTTTAAAATATTTTCCACCCTAAGAGTAGAATATCTAGCACTACAGCAAACATTCAATATGTGTTTACTGTATAAATAATCCTGCTTACATTCAGCCACGCATTGCAAACAAGCACTATGTTAAAATTTTTTTAAAAAAAGGTCTGCTTCACTATCTTTCTAATTTTTAAAAACTGCCAAGTTCAATTGAAAAATGAATGTATCTGTATTATATATAGTGGTCATAAGTATGTCAATATGGTATTCATTTCTACTTTCTTGCTCACAGTTCTACTATAGAAAGCTAAGACATTCCCTCAAAAGAGTTGAAAAAAGGGGAAAGATACATGCAGACAGACATGCACACACACGCACACACACACACACACAAAATAAAAATAGTAATTTTAGGCCAGGCGCAGTGTCTCCTGCCTGTAATCTCAGCACTTTGGGAGGATCATCTGAGGTCAGGCAGGAGTTCAAGACTACCCTGGCCAACATGGCAAAACCCCATCTCCACTAAAAATTTAAAAAATTAGCTGAGTGTGGTGGCGGGCGCCTATAATCCCAGCTACGAGGGAGGCGAAGACACAAGAATCTCTTCAACCCAGGAAGCAGAGGTTGCAGTGAGCCAAGATCATACCGCTGCACTCTAGCCTGGGTGGCAGAGCAAGACTCTGTCTCAAAAAAAATTAAAATTAAAATTAAAATAGTGATTTTTATTTGGGGCAACAAGAGAGACCAAATTCCAGGTTTTTACCTAAATCATGTTCTTTATCATCTATCAACTATTTTCACTACACTTAACTAGCTTAACAAAAAAAAAAAAAAAAAAAAAACAACTTTAGGTCAGACGTGATGGCTCATACCTATAATCCCAGCACTTTAGGAGGCCAAGGCGGGTCAATCGTTTGAGCCCAAGAGTTCAAGGCTAGCCTGGACAACATGGCAAAACCCTGTCTCTACAAAAAACACAAAAATTAGCCAAGTATATGGTGGCATGCACCTGTAGTCCCAGCTGCTCAGGAGGCTGAGCTGGGAGGATAGCTTGAGCACAGAAAGCAGAGGTTGCCATGGTGAGCCATCAGCCTGAGCAAGACAGCAAGACTCTGAGAAAGAAAAAAGAAAAGAAAAAGAGAGGAGAGGAGAGGAGGAAAGAAGGAAAGAAGGAAGGAAGGAAGGAAGGAAGGAAGGAAGGAAGGAAGGAAGGAAGGCAGGCAGGCAGGCAGGCAGGCAGGCAGGCAGGCAGGCAGGCGAGCGAGCGCCCACAGGAGGGAGGGAGGGAGGGAACCCTGCTTTATAGGGGCTTATCCCTGTTACATTTTAAGTTTCAATTACTTTAATCATACCACCATTGAAATGCAAAGAATTCAGGCAAGAAGCGTGGTAATGAAAAAACTATGGGTTGTAAAGAAAAACTTGACTTGAATCCAGACTACTATTTGCTAGCTGTGTGACTGTGAACAAGACACTTAACCTCTCTGGGCTTCATTTTCCCTAACAGTGCAACAGGAATAAGAACTGTTGTGACAGTCCGACACAATACTGGATGCAGAACAGTAATCAAATTTCATTCCTCTTTCCTCAGGAAACAATTTTTTTTAACTGAGGCGTAATTTTGGAACATGGAACAGTTGGTTGGTTATGGATGTGGTGGGGTTCTCAGAACTAGTAAGGTACAATATGAAGGCAAAGAATAGCACATAGCTTGGAGCAGGAAACTGGGATAAGGAAGCCAAGTGTAGATCTGCTACTTGTTGCAGGTTGTCATGTTTAAAACTCCTGCTCAGTTCAATCTCCCCAATCTAGTTTTGTCCAGTCAAGCCTCACCTGTCACTCACTACCCCTTTCCAAGTAGGAAGAATATGCAGGAAAAATAATGGGGAAAAGCAAACAAGTGACAATATATGCTCTTGGTGACTTCCTTCCTCTGAGCTCTCATCTCCCTTCCTCTCCACCCTTTCTTATTCCTACAGTAAGTACCTTTCTTAGAAAGAGTGATCCCTATGTATGTGAATAATCTGTACAAAAAGTTAAACTATAAAATTCCAAGCTCCAAGATTCTAAAAAGGTACAAATGTCTTATTTGTTTCAACGTTTTCTTTGAACGTGCACATTTCATCCGGTAAAGAAACCTTTGGGATTTTATCTTAAAGCCGTTTAAAGGCATAATCAAAAGGTTTGAGTATCAAACAAAAGCCACCTATCCATAACACATCCTGTTCACGAAAGCGTCCCAGAAACTCGATATAAACAAAATCCCTCTGTTTATTTCCAGGAGTTAATACTGTGGTTTTCTGTATCCAACAGTATGCCTACATACCCGGGGTTATTACGTTTTCTTCCTCTACTCAAACAGAGCATCTGCTGCTAACATTAACACTGAAGTCCAAGTTATTTTCACAAACAAAAAAGCAGCTGGTCAAGCTAATCCATTTGTTGACTAGCCACCATGAAGCTTCTGTAAGACTGCCTAGTTAAGTTAACCTCTACTGTCAGACTGCATGACTCAGAACTTCCAAACCTCTTTCTATTAGAATGTAACAACTCTTCTCTGGAACCACCATGTGAATCGTTTCTTACAGATATAATAGCAGAAAAGATGCTTTAAAAGTAAAAATGTCGGGCCGGGCGCGGTGGCCCACGCCTGTAATCCCAGCACTTTGGGAGGCCGAGGCGGGCGGATCACGGGGTCAGAAGATAGAGACCATCCTGGCTAACATGATGAAACCCCGTCTCTACTAAAAATACAAAAAATTAGCCAGGCGTGGTGGCGGGAGCCTGTAGTCCCAGCTACTCGGGAGGCTGAGGCAGGAGAATGGCGTGAACCTGGGAGGTGGAGCTTGCAGTGAGCCAAGATCGCGCCACTGCACTACTCCAGCCTGGGCCACAGAGCGAGACTTCGTCTCAAAAAAAAGGAAAAATGTCTACACTTAATTTTAAAAGGAGAAAGTTACTTTGAAGTTAGGATTATTAAATTAATAACAGTAGCTAACAGTATTTTTGTATGCTAGGCACTGTTTAGTGGGTTTTAAAAATGAATGCAAGACCGGGCACAGTGGCTCAAGCCTGTAATCGCAGCGCTTTGTGAGGCCAAGGCTGGCGGATCACCTGAGTGAGGTCAGGAGTTTGAGACCAGCTGGCCATCATGGTAAAACCCCGTCTCTACTAAAAATACAAAAATTAGCCAGGGGTGGTGGCAGGCGCCTGTAATCCCAGCTACTCAGGAGGCTGAGGCAGGAGAATCTCTTCAACCCAGGAGGCGGAGGTTGCAGTAAGCCAAGATTGCACCGTTGCACTCCAGCCTGGGCGACAAGAGCAAAACTCCGTCTCAAAAAAAAAAAAAAAAGAACACAATCCTCACAATAATCTTGTGAGAGAATTACAATTATTGTTATCTCTGTTTTACAGATGAAGAAATGGAGACAGAGCAAACTATCCCAGCTCATACAGCTTATAAATAGTAGAACTGGAGACTTGGCTCCAGAGCCATCCTCTTACTAATGTAAAGCCCAAATCCCAATGCCTAACAAACATTCAGGTATATATTCAGGCCTTCCTCACACTTTGCAGTACCTATTTTTCTTATACTCTACTGACTGAGGTACTACCCCTACTACTATTTTCAATGTACATTCCATAACAGAAAATAGTATCTAAAAATCATGTCTGGGGTGTACTACTGTCTTATTTAAAGAGAACAATATCCAGCTTAGATCATTACTATTTGAGGCTTGTGATTCTGCAGGAATTCATACGAGAAAAGGAAGCTCAGGTTCAGAGCACTGAACTGGTTATACACATTAATCCCGGACATTCTTTTTACAGCTATAAACCAAAGGGTGTTTGTTTTTTCATTAGAAAGATTTGGTACCACCAATGAAATTCAACATATTTTCTAATATTGAGAAGTTGATTCTCAAAGATATCACAAATAAGATACATTACTACTACTACTAAGAAAGAGAAGCTAATTCTTTGCTACCTCTCAGGAAACTGCACGTGGTAACCTGTAGGTACCCTAACACATCATTCGAAATGAGAACAAATAGGTTCAAATCTTAGCCTTAGGGCTAGTAGCATGACCTTCCAGGAGTCACAACTCATTAAAGTAAGGAATAATGCATCCCTGATAAAGTATGATGATCAATATTAAAACACATTTTTTTGTATTTTATGGGACACAGTATTTTAGTGGTCATACTTTGTAAACTTTAAAATGCTGTGTTTTCAGAACAAACTATTTTATCAGATTTTTACTATGACACTATAAAATACTCTTACTTCTACTGCATAGATGAGGAAACAGATTAATCACAGTTAAGTGACTTGCTCCTTATCACAGAGCTAGTAAATAGCATCCTGGAACCCATGTCTCCGGACTTTGCTCCTTCACTTGACCTCTGCTAATGTCCATTCAAATATCATTTCTTTTATCTAATAAGCTGAGAGATGTTTTACAAATTTAGGCAGAGACAATATTTTAAACCTATACATACTCAAAATACACAAAATCTAATTTTTAAAAAATGCCTTAAGAATAGTCATGCATTCCAAGGTGAGTTTCAAGACCAACACATACAATGAAATCATATGCATATTTGTTAAATACTGTAATAGTCAATGCTCAACACATCATTATTCTCTCATGCCCTCAGTGAAGTGATCCTCAAGAAGGTGAATGTAGACAAAATTGTAGAAAACGTTGTTCTAAGTCTTTCCCGTGCTTTCTAATAATAGAAAAGAATAGTCTCTTAGATATGTCTTTGTTTTCCCTGCTACATTATTAATACTCCTTGTTTTTTCTTTCCTACCCTGTACTATATTTCAATTACGTTATAGTCTAACAAAGAGAACAGGGTGGTTATTTTCATATGGAGATTATGACTGAATAATTCACTTCTAACTGTATTCAAGACATTGGCTTTGTTCTCCAAATACTTCTGAATTGAACCTTTACGATTATATAACCTTTCCTCAACTGTTCGGAAAGTATAAAACATTCCACAACGACCCCTAAGTAACTGTGCCCAGCAACACCAACTGGTCAGAGAGTGGGAAGGCTGCCCTAACAATTGAAGTCTTTTCCCTCCATTCAACGAACACTAAACACTAAGATCTACTTAGGAAAAGTCATGGGAAGGGGAGCGGTGGGCGGTACAAAGGAGATTCGGTCCCTGACCTAAAGAGCGTGGTGCTGAGACGAGACTTGGTCGAGGAGAAAGCCCCAGCTTTCGGCGTCAGCAGGGAGACACCAAAAAGGCTGTGCCTCGGTTTCCTCACCTGCTGAGGAGGGATACACCCCCACCAGCACGCTCGCAGTCTGCAGGCATGAAAACCGGCCTAAAGCGCTGCAGAGTGGCTGATTTTAAAAGGGGGATGGCTCCGTTTCTCCTCCAGAGTCAGGGCCCCGGACAGCGCGCAGAGCAGAGGCCAGCCCGAGTCACCGGGCGCGGTCCCCGCATCCGTGTGGGCGCCTCTTAGCTCCCGCCCAGAGAGCGGCCGGGCGGCCTTGCCCTCCGCAGCAGCAGCCCGGACGCCCGGCCAGGCCCACCCCGCGCACCCACAGCCCACGGGCCCAGGCGCCCCGCCCACCCTGTGCCGGCCCGGCTTGTCTCGGTAGCCCCGGGCTCCCCTCCCCCGCTTACTTTCTGGGAGTCCATGGCGAGTGGCTAAGCCCACTGGGCTCGAACCCGAGACGACGAACCGTGTGAGGAGGCTCAGCGAGATCGCACACCCCAAGACCGCTACTCACTGCACTGCCCCAGCCCGCACCGGCACCGCCCGGCCCCACCCGTCCGCGCCCAGACCGCGCGCGCCGTAGTCACGCCGCGGTTGCCAGGGTGAAAGGGCGGCCCGCAGAAGGGAGGGGCTGAGGAGCGCACCGCGCCTGCGCGCAGCGGCTGACTGCTCCCGGGAAGTAGCCGTGGAGGGTGGGGAGCGCCGCCCGTCTGTCTACCGCTAGTGCCTCTGCAGGCTGCACTCCCTTCCCCCATCCTTTTTCCTCCAGCGATAGCGGTCTCTCCGGCCCTGAAATAGGCCACTGGGCATCCAGCAGCCGGCCGGTGCGGAGGGCCCGGGAAGGAAAGAGTATCTGGTGCTGGAGACGGATTAGCCCACCCTCCACCCAGCACGCATCTGAAGCCCCTCCCCACACTATCCTTCGAGGGGCAGCCAGGCTTGAGCGGACCCAGCGGTCCAAAGGGAGGAAAAGGGCTGGGGTGGGGATGTAGCGAAAACGTGGGAAAAGACCTTTAGGGGATGTGGTGGAAACGTGGGAGGAGGGATATAGGGATGAGAGTGGCGGAAACGTGGGTGTGGGATTAATATGAGCTTTGGGGCCTGGCACAGTTTTTCCCGGGGACCCACCCATCCTCCCCGGCACCTCGCTACCTGTATGATTTTGAGCAAGTCAGTCTGCCTGAGCTTGTTTCATCTGTAAAATGAGAGAAATAATGCGGACTTTGCAGAGGATTGTGAGGATTAAATAACGTATGGTACATAATTAGTAGTGAATAAATTATAGTCATTCTCTTTTTTTTTTTTTTTTTTTTTTTTTGGAGATGGAGTCTCGGTCTGTCACCGAGGCTGGAGTGCAGTGGTGCCATCTTGGCTCACTGCAACCTCTGCCTCCCGGGTTCCAGGAATTCTCGTGCCTCAGCCTCATGAGTAGCTGGGATTACAGGCGCCCCCACCACACCTGGCTAATTTTTTGTACTTTTAGCGGAGACTGGTTCTAGCCATGTTGCTTAGGATGGTCTCGAACTCCTAAGCTCAGGCAGTCCGCCCACCTCAGCCTCCCAAATTGCTAGGATTACAGGTGTGGGTTACAGGGCATGTGCCAGGCCCATTATAGTCATTCTTAGTGGGGAGTTAGAACCTGCTCGGTGTGGCCTGAGGCATCAATGAAGATTTTAGAAAGCTTGGAATTTAGTAGGCTTGAGAAAGTTCTTCCTCAAGCAGACAGGCCTCATCTTCCATTTGGATGACTCTGGAGAGGCTCACAAAAGTTCAATTAGACAGTCATTTATGATGAATGAATAAAAGGGAAATACATATTGAGTACCTATTCTGTACCAGTTCTACAAACAAAATTCAGTAGTGGGCAAGGCCCTGTTTCTCTCACAGAGCTTACAATCTAGTATAGAAGACCAACCAAAAAAAAAAAAAAAGTTAACGTGCTAGACGGTTATAGGTGCTAAAATTAAAACTTAGGCCAGGCATGGTGGCTCACACCTGTAATCCCAACACTTTGGGAGGCCCAATGAGTGGATCACTTGAGTCCAGGAGTTCGAGACCAGCCTGGGCAACATGGCAAAACCCCATCTCTACAGAAATTAAAAAAAAAAAAATTAGCCAGACGTGGTGCTGCAAGCCTGTAGCCAGAGCCAATCAGGAGGCTGAAGCGGGAGGATCACTTGAGTCCTGGAGGCAGAGGTTGCAGTGAGCCTAGATCACACCACTGCACTCCAGCCTGGGCAACAGGGTGAGACCCCAGCTCCTAAATAAATAAATAAGGCAAATGGATTCAGAGAATTGGGAGGGTTTAATTTTTCATAGAAATGTCAGGGAAGATCTCTCTTGGAAATGACCTGAGTATAAAGTGAGAAGAGGAATTGTACAAGGATCTAGGGAAGAACATTCTAGAAAGTAGGAACAACAAATACAAAGGCCTTGTGGAGAGAAGGAGCTCTGTGTTTGAGAAACAGCATTTATTCTACAATGTTGTCATTACATCTCCACATGGATCCCCCTGACTGTACTGTGATTTTTTTTTTGAGGGCTGAATTTCTTTTACCCCATATCTGTATCCCCAGCTCAGAGTCTGCCACATAGTATGCACTTAATACATCCTTTTTTAACTGGACAGAGATGTACAAGAAATGAAATGAAAGTTACAAAAGGGAAAAGAAGAGCTTGGCTAAGGCTGGGTGGGTAGTGCTTAGAGAGCCAGGGTCCAGGGTGGGCCTATGTGTGCCAGCTGAAAGGAGTAGTGGCATGCAGTCCTTCAAAGAGATGCCCATCTCTTAGTACCAAGGGAAGAGAGCCTCTTATTCAACCTTTCCCAACTCCGTGAGGAATAACAAGTGCAGCCAGGCGCCAAGCCATTAGCCCACTGCTGCAGCCACAAAGGTCGTTCCTTCACACTGTGTACTGCAGTTGAGTCAGTTTCCCATGAGGGAGAAATAGCCTGGCGATTGGAGAACATCTAAAGTCTACTCACCAGACTGCGTGCTTCCTGGCTCTGCCCCTGCTTGCCACTATGGGACCCACGACTAAGCAGAGGAGACAGGGCTTGGCGATGTCCCCACTTCTCTTGCTGCAAGGACTTAACCTCATTACTGTCTGAGGGCAATTCCTAGGCACTTTATGACTGACAGGCACCACCAGAGAAAGAAGAAAGAGGCTTTTGGGGACAGTGAGTTGCAGCTGAAATGTGATCACCAGACTCTGTCACAGTCCACACCCCAGGAGCTCACTCCTGGCTCCTTGCCTCCAGCTTCCCAAGTTCTTTCCCTGTAGCCCAGCCAGCAGACTGCAGCTTTTGACAACATCTCTACCCCATTTGGCTTCTGCCCTCACCTGATCTCTGTCTCTGGCCAGTCTGGCTCTCCTGCCCAGCTCATCCTGGGCCTTTTGCTTCCCCTCGTTCCCATCTGGGAAACAGCTAGTTCCTTCTGACTGTGACTTCTGTCTTCCCCAGTTTGTACAAGTTCTCCCATCACAGCCACGTACCGAGCTGGGCTCTAAGTCTCCCACCCAATCCCTCCCAGTACCTCTGGCCTATAGGCAAGTCCTTTGCCTTTTCTGTACTTATTTTTTCACAGCCAAATCCATTTAGAAATTTTCAAAAGTAGTTTTACAAATAAAATAAAGCATTTTTCTTAAATGTGATCCCTGGACCAGCTGAATCCACATCACCTCATAACTTCTATGAAGTACAAATTGTCCAGCCTTATCCCTGGATCTACTGAATCAGGAACTCTTGGAGTAGAATCCAAAAATCTGTGTTTTAGCATTTCCTCTAGGTGATTCTGATGAACTCTAAGCTTGAGAGCCATTGAACTGCGAGAAAGCAAATTGTTTACAAAAAAAGGGGTCGGGGAGAGGACTACAGAGGCATAAAAATATCAGTTCAAAACCTAGGTTTCTGGTTCTTAAAAAGCCTATCTAGTCATAGACATTTATCCTCTTGAGGTCTCTGGGCCTCCAGGAACCTCTTTCTGAGGAAACCTCAAGTTAGGATAGCCTCATAGAAAGGCTGATGTAGAGAGTCTGGCAAAACTGTCTCTCCCAGAACCAGGTTCTGTATCCTCTCTGAGTGGTGCCAGGTATTGCCTGCAGCCCTGGGCTACCTCGTATATTCTGAAATTCCCCCATCTCTTAGGAGAGAAATTTCCTTCCTTTCAGTGTTGCCAGCAGTCTATCCCTTTGGGAGTCAGTATAGGGCCATCAGCATGGAGTCAGCAGTGTGAATTTAAATCCAGATGCTGCTGCTTACCAGCAACGTAGCCTTCAGTGAGTCACTTACCTTGCTAAACCTCAATTTCCTCGTCTGTAACATACCGATCAGAATAGTAGTAATTCCCTTTTAGGGTTGCTGTGAGGATTAAAGGGGATTATGTAGGTCAAATGCTGGCTAGTATTATTTAACAAGTAGTAGCTGTTACTAATAATTACTCTCTTACTCATAATGTCCTTCTGTTTTACCCTTGCACAGCTCTTTTTCCTTCTGGATCTTTGGGGCCTTAAAAGACCTATTCTCACCACAACTCCCCCTTTCCCTGTTATACCTGTTTTTTCTGGAGTATAATCACTAGTCAAATGCTGCCCTTTGTTGAAGCCCAAAATCTTTGCCCGTTGCTCCCTGCTACTATATCTGGCCTGAGTCTTAGCATTTGCCACCCAGCCTGGGAAGACTCCAAGGCTCTCTAAGCCTCAGTTTCTTTAGCTGTGAAATAGAGATCATAAAAGTAGCACCTATAAGGGTTGTTGAGTGGTAAATCATATAATTCATATTAAATTTTGAGCACAGTGTCTGGCATGTAGTGAGCATTCAAAAAATATTAGCTATCTCTTCCCAACCATAGAAACCTAATTCTGATTTTTTTTTAACAGAGACATGGTCTTGCTGTGTTGGTCAGGATGGTCTTGAACTCCTGGCCTCAAGCAGTCCTCCCACCTTGGCCTCCCAAAGTGCTGGGAATATAGGCATGAGCCACCATGCCCGGTCTTGTTTTTCCTGCCCTTTTCTGAGTAAAATCCAAAGTCACCCAAAATCCCTGCAACCCCTTGGAAGTCAAAGCAAAAATTTCTGATCCTGGGCACTCATTATAGACAGAGTCTGCCCAGGAGGGTGATATGGTTTGGCTGCATCCCCACCCAAATCTCATCTTGAACTGCAGCTCCCACAATTCCCATGTGTTGTGGGAGGAATCTGGTGGGAGGTAATTGAATCATGGGGGCAGTTCTTTTCTGTGTTGTTCTCATGATAGTGAATAAGCCTCACGAGAGCTGATGGTTTTATGAAAATGAGTTTCCCTGCAGATGAAAGCTGTCTTTCATCTGCTGCCAATGTAGGATGTGCCTTTCGCCTTCGGCCATGATTGTGAGGCCTCTGCAGCCACATGGAACTGTGAGTCCATTAAACCTCTTTTTCGTTATAAATTACCCAGTCTCGAGTATGTCTTTATCAACGGCATGAGAACAGACTAATACAGACGGAAAGAATGGTTCTGCCCTGATGTGGGCTGGCGCTCTCTACTTGAAGAGCTCTAAGCCAAGTGGTAAGCAGTCAGTGGACACAAACCTGACTAGTGAAACCATGTGAGAAGAGACACAACTAAAGCAACTGTGAGTATTTAGCCTGAAAGGAAAAACTCAGAGTGGATATGATCATTGCCTTCAAATTTCTTTAGGGCTATTGTATGGAAGATGAAGCTAACTTGTTCTCTAGCATCCCATAGGTATAATTAGACCCAATTGGTGGAAGCTACAGGAAGATGGATTTCCATTCAACAAAATGTCCAACTTTCTAACAGAGCCATAGAGAGCTGGAATAGACTGTTTGGTAGTGAGATCCCCATTAGTGCAGGTATATAAGCAGGGGCTGGACATTTGCTTAGCAGAGCATTCATAGGGGGATTCAGGCACTGGAAGGGTACCTGGTAGAAATAACTTTTTTTTTTTTTCTTTGAGACAGGGTCTGGCTCTGTCACCCAGGCTGGAGTGCAATGGTGCAATCTCGGCTCACTGCAACCTCCGCCTCCCAGGCTCAAGCCATCCTCGCACCTCAGCCTGCCGAGTAGCTGGGACCACAGGCACGTGCCACCATGCCCAGCTAATTTTTTTTTTTTTTTTATGTTTTGTAGAGATGGGATTTCACCATATTGTCCAGGCTGGTCTGAAACTCTTGAGCTCAAGCAATCTGCCCACCTTGGCCTCCCAAACTGCTGAGATTACAGGTGTGAGCCACCGTGCCTAGCAGAGATAACTTTTAACATCTTCCTGAACTGTGAGGTTACATCATTCTCTAAACTGGAGGGCAAAACCATTCATTCCCTTTCTGACTCAGTTTTGTAATTATACTCACGTTTGGAAGGCTCTCTGAATCTCCTCTCCCCACCGTCACTCCCATGTGGTCCATTGCAAGAAGCCCCACTTCTTCCTGGGAGAAGGCCTGGGAGGGATAGTTAATTTAACCCTAGCCATTATGATGTGATTGTGTCACAACACCTTCTCCATGTGTAATGGCCTACTTTATGCTGGCACTAGGGACACTGAGATGATTAAGGCCTAGAAGGCACAAGTGCTTTCCATCTACCCTCCCATGGCTCTGGTTGTGCCTCTGAACTCGTCATATTCAGAGAATGATCAAGGACAAAGCAAATTTATCTGCCTACCAATCTCCTCATTGTGAAAGCATGGTGGCCCCCAGCCAGGTTTCTCTAACACAGAGGAATAGACTCAATGTTCCTAGGAAGAACACTGCTCAGCAGCCCCTATCCCTCTGCATATACTCTGAAAATGTTAAGGGCTGTGTTGAGACTAGGGAGATAAAGAGCCATCGCAAATTCACTGCACTTCTATTTCATTGGCTAAGCACCCAGACTCTGGTGCCAGACTGTCTGAATTCAAATCCTAAGTCTTGCCAGTTGTGTCTTTGGGCAATTTCTTATCCTTTCTGTACCTCAATTTTCTCATTTCTAAAATAAGAGTGTTAACAATATCCACTTGATAGGTTTGTTATGAAGATAAATGACTTAATGTATATAAGATGCTTAGAATAATGGCAGACATATAGAAAATACATAATATATGTGAGCTATCATCATTTTCTAAAACAAACTGTTGTTCTAAGCACAGCACCAGGAAATAGTAGTGTCTGTGAGCCCTTTGGTACTGCAATGCCATTGCTGCTGGTGAAGATGGTACTGTGTCAGCACTTCCGGGGAAAATAAGCCTCTTGAAATCCATCCTTCATTATGAAGGTCAATCTGTACTTTTCCATAACAAAGAGTTTGAGGGAGAAAGGTGATAGGACTTATGCTAGAAGGGAAGGACTTAAGACAAGGAGATAGAAAGGGAAGATTGGATCCTTTCCAAGCCAAAGAAACAGCCTGAGCAAAGATGGGCAACAATGGAAAAACAATCCCAAGAAATGGAGGTAGGCGATGAAATGAGTGGAAAGTGCAACTTTCAGTGCCCAAATATTGGGGAAGCATTAGGAGGACTTTAGAACATACAGGAGATGAAATGTTCTACAGCCATGAAAAGTATCTTTAAGAAAAATACATAGCAGTGAGAGAGTTTATAATATTACAAATTTTTTAAATAGCTAGAATAATTTTTCTTTTTCTTTTTCTTTTTTCTTTTTTGAGACAGAATCTCGCTCTGTCACCCAGGCTGGAGTGCAATGGTGTGGTCTTGGCTCACTGCAACCTCCGCCTTGCAGTTTCAAGCAATTCTCCTGCCTCAGCCTCCCGAGTAGCTGGGATTACAGGTGCCTGCCACCATGCCTGGCTAATTTTTTTTGTATTTTTAGTAGAGACAGGGTTTCACGATGTTGGCCAGGCTGGTCTTGAACTGCCGACCTCATGATTTGCCCAACTCGGCCTCCCAAAGTGCTGGGATTACAGGTGTGAGCCACCGCACCCGGCCAAAAAATAGCTGGAATAATTTTTCTAAATACAATTGGATAATGCCTACTATAGAAAAGTAACCAGTGCATTTATAAGTTTTTATTTTGTTTATACCTTTTAGCTCAGGTGAAGTGACATCATATATGAAAGCTCAGCCTGGCTTCCTGTGATCAAATACAAACTGTTTTTTTTTTGTGTTGTTTTTGTTTTTCTTTTGAGATGGAGTCTTTCTCTGTCGCTCAGGGTTGGGGTGCAATGGTGCGATCTTGGCTCACTGCAACCTCTGGCTCCCAGGTTCAAGTGATTCTCCTGCCTCATCCTCCTGAGTAGCTAGGAATACAGGCACCCACCACCATACCCAGCTAATTTTTGTATTTTTAGTAGAGACAGGGTTTCACCATATTGGCCGGGATGGTCTTGAACTCCTGACTTCAAGTGATCTGCCCACCTCAGCCTCCCAAAATGCTGAGATTACAGGTGTGAGCCACCGCGCCTGGCTACAACACTGTTTTGGTTCAAATGTTTGGGTCTCCACAAAATCCATCTGTTGAAATCTTAACCCCCAAGATGATAATAATAGGAAGTGGGGCCTTTGGGAAGTGATTAGGTCAGAGGCAGAGCCCTCATGAATGGCATGAATGGAAGAGTCCTTAGAGAAATCCCTCAGTCCTTCCATCAGGTGGGGATGCATGAAGTGAGAAGGTTCCATCTGTGAACCAGGAGGCAGCCCTTCACAAGACGCTGAATCTGCCAGCACCTTGATCTTGAACTTCCCAGCCTCCAGACCTGTGAGAAATAAATTTCTGTTTTTTGTAAGCCACCCAGTCTGTGGTATTTTGTTACAGCCACCAAAAAGGACTAAAACAAACACCTACAAGTAGTATATGTTTATTTTTCTGCTACATAAAAGTGAATCAAAGACAAGCAAATTGGCTTTGATATATAAACTCAAATTTGGCATGATTTCCTCATGATGAAAAAAAGGAAAAGGGAAAAAGTGGGTGGAGAGAGAGATTAGTAGGGGTCAAACTGTAATGGTCTCTGAATTCCAGGCCAAGGTGTTGGTTTCTGAGCATGTTGTGTGGGGGAAGCCACTTGCATGTTTATGAGCAATGAGTTATTTTAGGACAGTTGATTTGGCAGGAGAAATAGGAAGGACATGAGTGGGAGGAGTCTGGGGTGAGGAGTTGACTGCTGATCCAGAGGCCCAGACCTCTCCTATTCCCTGCCCCTTCCCTTTCCTGGTTAGATCCCTACAGCCCCCCTCACCTCCCACTCCATCACCACCACCACCACCACCACCACCACCACCACCACCACCACCACCACCATTAGAATACAGTAGTTACCTTAGCATTATCAATCTTTAAGTACTTTTGCAGCCAAATGGAAAAAATAATACATTGGCCTGAATGAAGATGGTTGACTTTCTTCCAAAGTCATCTAAAACAGAGGTTGGCACACTTTTTGTGAAAGGGCCAAATAGTCAACATTTTAAGCTTTGGGGGCCATATGGAATCCGTCACAACTATGCAACTCAATCACTGTAGGGCAGAAGCAGCCATAGACCTGAAGGATTGGGTGTGGCTGTGTTCCCAATAAACCTTTATTTACAAAAATAGCTGGGGGCCATATTTTATCAACTCCTGATCTCAAAGAATATTGTGTTTTTTTTTAGAAGATAATTCTGTGATTCTTTTGCGCCTCTAAAGACTCCCTGGTCCTCCATCTCAGACACTTCCCACATACCTACACTGCCATTATGAGAGGAAGTATAGCATTGATAAGGTGTTGGGGTAATTATCTTTGGAGCAATAATAAGCAAAACAATGTTAGTGTGGAGAGCTTTGGAGTTAGAACTAGATTTGAATCCTGACTCTGACAACTGTGTGATCTTACACATAGGATACAAACTCTCTGAGTCTCCGTTTCTTCGTGGTCAAAGTGGAGATAATAGGTGCAACCTTACAGGGCTATTGTGAGGATTAAACTTATGTAAAGCACCCAGCCTAATGCTTGGCATGGAACGGGCACTCAATAAATAGTAGTTATTAACCCACATTGGCTCTATAAATAGCAGAGTCAAAGTCGACAGACCCAGCCTGAACAAGAATTTCGCTGGGGATCTAGCCTTCAGGCCAGTATTGGCGCTAGAGTGAGAAAAGGGAATCATTTAAACATACCCGAGACTAGAAGAGAAAGCAACATTAAATGTGAAGACAGTGCTGCAAGACAGATTTCTATCAAATGCTTTTGATTATTTATTAGACAGCCGCACTGTACCAAATCCACTTGGCTGTTGGTGGTTTGAGAAACTTGTTACATGCTTTCATTGAAGTAATAAGATCCTGCTCTTCATAATCGCAGACTCTCAACAGCTGGTGAGTGGGAGAACCTCATGTAAACAACCTCCTCTGAGTTCATTCTTCAGGGCTCATGAGACCAGTCACCTTTTCTTCAGCTGAAAAAACACATCAAGAAAATGAATGCTTCTGTCCTAGGGGAACATGACACAATGAGAAGTAATCAATAACTAGAAATAGTGTGGGATCGTCTTTAAAGAAAACATTATGAAATGTAAGAAGGCTACACACACACACACACACACACAGATTAACAAATTTAAAAAGATATCTGGGAGATCCCCTTATCAACTGTGTATTCATGCACAAGTTATTTAAAATCTGTGCCTACATTTCCCAATGTATAAAATTGAGATAATTATGGTTTCCTTAAGGTTGTTGTAAGGATTAAATGCATTGGTAAATACAAAGTACTTAAAACACTGTCTGACACATATCAAGGAAGGCTAGATTAGTGTTTGCCACTGTTGGCATTAGTATTGTTCTTTGACAAAGAGGTTTTTAGAACAGTTGAACTGAATCAAACAAACCCATGGTGAGTCAAATTCAAAGCTGATTTGCAAAACTTGATTCTATGGTACTCTCAAAGACCAAAACCTGAAATGCAAATGAAACTTTGAATTTTTCACTCCTGTAATTCCGTTAGCAGTGGGTCAGATCAGACCAGGATAATGGGTGTTCTAATAGTTTGGTTCAATTCAAGAAATAGTGACTAAGTAAATGAACTGAAGATAAGAAGTATAACATGATTCTTTTAAATGGATATTCTTATTCCTAGGAAATACACATTGAAGTATTTAGGACTAAAGGGCAATGACGTATATACATTATTCTCAAGTGATCCAAAAGTATTAGGTATATACTATATACCTAATAGATATGTGTGTGTATATATATAGAGAGAGAGAGAGTATGGACCTAATATTCTCTGTATATATCTATATCAATCTGTCTAGATACTTATCTAGACAACTATCTATCTAGATCTCAATAGCTAGTTATATCTATATCTATAGACATCTATATCTAGATCTAGATCTCAATAGCTAGATATATCTAGATATCTATCTATACATATAGATATAGATATATCTATAGATAGATATCGAGATCTAGATAGATATAGAGAGAGAATGGATGAGCATATGGGGTAAAATACATGTTTAACAGAGGTGTAACAATATGTAGCATGGTGTTCTATGTACCATTCTTATTCTTGCAGCATTTCTATAAGTTTAAAATCATTTCCAAATAAAAAAGCCCCATTAGGATGGGTTAAAAATTAAAAATAAGGGCCGGCTCAGTTTGATTATCAAACAAGCCCAGAGCCACTGCAGGATAAGCAGAAGTAACGAGATACAGTCCTAACCACAAGATGCCAGGAGAGCTTGGACTTGGAAGAAGGGGGTATGAAATAGTTCTATGATTCAGATATCAAATGAAGTCAGGTGAAGATCTGATACATCTGTCTCCACAAGAGGCTCTGCTTGTCTCCAGGTGCTTAAAACAGGTCACATGTGGCACTAAGAATAACGTTGCTTGAAACCCTTACCAAAAGTTTCATTTTAGGGTTTTATTCTTGAGATTTTAGTACGTGCCACTTATTGCTGATCCCCCGGCCTCAGATTTTTCCCAACTTCAATCCATTTGGCAGGCTGCTGATAGAATAAATCCCTAAATTGTTGCTTTCGCCACATTAGTTCCTCACTCAAGAAATTAGCAATGGCTTCCTATTTTCCACAACACCTCACCTAAACTTTGCTGTCTTACCAGTTTCATTTTATTTATTTATTTATTTGAGACAAGGTCTTCCTCTGTCACCCCGAACGGAGTGCAGTGGCATGATCATAGCTCACTGTAACCTCAAACTCCTGGGCTCAAGCAATCCTCCCACTTCAGCCTCCTCGGTAGCTGGGACTATAGAAGCTCCATGCCACACGCTACTCCATTTTTATGATTTTACATACTTTGACTTGCAGTTTCAACTTTCATGATTTTTTCCCCTTTACTGAAAATAACAGGACCTATGATTAGACTGACATCTGACTGATTGTTGCTTGGTTATGATCATGTGGCCTAGTCACTAGGCTTATGCCAAAGTTGTGATTTGTCTGATGTTAAGATAAAAGTTCTTTCCTCCTATTTTTCTATTTAATAAACTTTTTTTTGTTTTCTGTTTTTGAGATAGAGTCTTGCTTTCTCACCCAGGATGGGGTGCAGTGGCACAATCTCAGCTCACTGCAGCCTCTGCCGCCTGGGTTCCAGCGATTCTTCTGCCTCAGCCTCCTGGGTAGCTGGGATTACAGGCGCACACCACCATGCCAGGCCAATTTTTGTATTTTCAGTAGAGATGGGGTTTTGCCATATTGGCCAGGCTGGTCACAAACTCCTGACCTCAGGTGGTCCGCAGGCCTTGGCCTCCCGAAGTGTTGAGATTACAGGCGTGAGCCACCACGCCCAGCCAAATAAACTTTTTAATTTTAGAATAGTTTTAGGTTTACAGAAAAGTTGCAAAGATAATATAGAGTTCCCATCTACCTCATGCCTAGTTTCCCCTATTGCTAACATCTTACATTACTATGATATATTTGTCACAACTAGTGAACCAACACTGGTACACTGCTATTAGCTAAACTCCATACTGTAAGGTCCTCTCAACAGGCTACACCATGGTCGAGCCATTGTGACCCCTCTGACCCACACATACAGGCCTCCTGGAGTCACAAAGCCTGGAGCAACAGGAGAACCACTAAAGAAAAAGAAACAGCTAGTTCCTGCCTTAACTGATTAACCAACTTTGCAGCATTCCACCATTGTGATATGTTCCTGCCCTGCCCTAACTAATCAGTCGACCTTGTGATATCGTGCCTTGTGACCTCCCCCCACCTCATGACTATGCACCTTGTGACATTCTTCCCCTGTCCAAAAAACAGCCCCTAACTGTAACTTTCCATTACCTACCCCAAACCTATAAAACCAGTTCCACTCCCAACACTCTTTGCTGACTCCTTTCTCGGACTCAGCCCACTTGCACCCAGCCTTGTTGCAACAGCCTTGCTGCTCACACTTAGCCTGTTTGGGTAGTCTCTTCAATTAGGCACAGACATAACACATACTTTATTCAGATTTCATTAATTTTCTCTGATGTCCTTTTCAGTTCCACAATCCTATCCAGGAGACTATATTATATTCAGCTTTCCTCCTTTTTTTTTTTTGTTTTGTTTTGTTTTTTGAAACAGACTCCTGCTTTGTTGCCTAGGCTGCAGTGCAGTTGCATGATAACAGCTCATTGCAGCCTTGACCTCCCAGGCTCAATGGATCCTCCCACCTCAGCCTTCTGAGTAGCTGGGGCTACAGGCCCGTGCCACCACACCTGGTTACATTTTTTGTATTTTTTGTAGAGATGGGATTACACCAGGTTGCCTAGGCTGGTCTTAAACTCCTGGGCTCAAGCAATCCGCCTATCTTGGCATCCCAAAATGCTGGGATTATAGGCATGAGCCATTGTGCCTGGATCTCTTCCTATTTTTAAATTTTAAAATATTATTTAAAAAGCTAAATGCAACCCTTAAGACTAAAGTATACAGTCTGATAAATGTGATTTCATTACACTTGGATGCTGTGTCTTTCCTACTATCCTTGAACATGAAAACTCACGGCATAATCTAGCTCATCCAATGAGTGACTGGAAGATTCAGTTCAAAGCTTCCTGAATCTTCTGTTTGTGTCAGATCCCTTGGGAGCCCAGAACATCCTTCTCCATCTTAAAGTCCAAGACTACATCTAATTAACTGGTCCAAACAAGTTTTCCTTCTATAAATGTATGGTGTAAAGGAATTATTATATGGATATTGAATCCCCCGGAATGAATCTCTACTTTTATCTTTTCCATCTTATTTTTGCCCTACTTTCTAAGAGTCTTCCTCAAATTCATCTTTCAACCCTTCTATGAATTTTACACTTTTTTCTATTTTAAATTTTTTTGTTCTCTGAATCTTCCTCTTTTAAATTGCAAACTATTTTATTTCCTTTTTTTTTGAGATGGAGTCTCGCTCTGTCACCCAGGCTGGAGTGCAGTGGTGCAGTCTCGGCTCACTGCAACCTCTGTCTCCAGGGGTTCAAATGACTCTCCTCCCTCAGCCTCCCAAGTAGCTGGGATTACGGGCATGCATGACCATGCCCAGCTAATTTTTGTATTTATTTAACAGAGACGGGGTTTCACAATGTTGGCTAAACTGGTCTCAAACTCCTAAACTCAAATGTTCCGTCCGCCTTGGCCTCCCAAAGTGCTGGGATTACAGGCATGAGCCACCGACCAGCCTAAATAGCAAACTAGTTTTTTTATTACAATCCTCTCTATTATCTGAGTTTAGTAATTTACAGTTTTCTTCTACCTTATAGTCTGTTTCCTCTAAGTTGCTTTGTTGTTGTCTTTCTCTTTGTTTTGATGTCTGTCTTTCATGGTAGAGACTTTCCCCAAGGGTCTGGTAATTCTTATTTAAGAAAGCAGCACTAAAATTAATTGGAAGTTTTTATTCGTGGGTAGATCTTGTCATTGAAATGCTTCATTGTATAATGACTTGATTGGACTTTCTAGCTAGAGAACCCCCTGTGTGAGCATCTTTAGGCATTTTCCTTTGGGCTGGTCAGATTCCCTGGAGAATATTTTTCAGTTTCCTGCTTGGTGGGTAAAGGCCTGGTTGTGAGAATTCTAGGAGATGGGTTGGGCAGTGGAGGGGTGAAGCAGGGGCGGCGGGGGAGTGGGGTGGCAGGGGCAGTGGGAGGGAGTGCGGTATCTTAATCCCCCTGACTTAATATGATACCTCTGTTTTGGATGCTCCTCCCTTAAGATCTGTCTTAACTTCTTCAGAGAATACCTTTCTGTCTGCTGAGCATGAAAAAAGGCAGTTGCCTGACTGTACAGAGTAGGGGATGGTGTCTGAAGATGTTAAGCATCATTTCATATGCTCTATCCTTTTGGCTATCCCCTTTTGTGGGGTACCCATTTAAATCTTTCATCCATTTGGGATGCCTTTTTCTTACTGATTTGCGAAAGTTTTTTGTTTGTTTGTTTGTTTGTTTGAGATGGAGTCTCGCTCCCATCGCGCAGACTGGAGTGCAGTGGTGCGATCTTGGCTCACTGCAACCTCCACCTCCTGGGTTCAAGCAATTCTCCTTCCTCAGCCTCCCGAGTAGCTGGGATTACAGGCGCACACTACCATACCCGGCTAATTTTTGTATTTTTAGTAGAGACAGGGTTTCTCCATGTTGGCCAGGCTGGTCTTGAACTCCTGGCCTCAGGTGATCCACCCCGCTTCGGCCTCCCAAAGTGCTAGGATTACAGGAGTAAGCCACCACGCCCGGCGATTTGTAAAAGTTTTTATAAATTTTAGTTTGGAGTCCTTTACCAAATATGTACTTTGCAAATATCCTTTTTTAGTCTGTGGCTTGCCTTTTCTCTCTTTTAATGGTGTCTTTTGATGAACTGAAGTTCTTATTTTTTACAGTGTCAAATGGAAGCCTCAAACAACTCTCCTGCCTCAGCCTCAATTTTAGCAACTTAAAAAGGAATAATGTAATTCAGAAGTCTGGCTGTCTTTCTGAGCTTGCTGTAATAACGCTGCAATAGTACTTGCACTGAGCAGAAAACCATCTTTGTTCCAAGGTTCAGGGTTATGTTTCTTGTGCCAGCTGTCATCAAGATTAAACATTACCAGACACAAACTATACCTTGCTATTCTAGGATCTCTGGCACCAGTAAACAGGAAGAAAGGGATCAATCTTGGATTGTTATGGCAGACCATATGGCAACAAAGCTTTGGTCCCTAAAGGCAGAAGGATGAAGCTTCCAGGCCCAGGGAATAATTGTCTCTGCTTCCCTTCTTTACAACTTGCATGTTAACCTAATATCATTTTGGATAAATTTAATGCAATCCTGCAGATATCTTGCCACTCCTACCTTCAACAAAGCAAAACAGAAGGACCAAACATTCCGTTATACACAAATGATAAGGTTGTATTACCTTTAGCAAGGAGTGGCTTGAAGAGACAATTGGCCTACTGGCTAATTATTGACAAAGAGAAGGGCTATAAATCAACTTTTCAAAAATAAGAGCCACCATTCAACTGTTTTTGGCCTATAACAATGGTAACTTCAGGCCAGATGCTGTGGCTCACCCCTGTAATCCCAACGGTTTGAGAGCCTGAGGTGGGCAGATCACTTGAGGTCAGGAGCTCGAGACGAGCCTGGCCAAAATGGTGAAACTCCGTCTCTACTAAAAATAAAAAAATTAGCCAGGAGTGCTGGCGCATGCCTGTAATCCCAGTTACTCAGGAAGCTGAGGCACAAGAATTGCTGAACCCAGGAAGCAGAGGTTGCAGTGAGCCAAGATTGCGCCACTGCACTAAAGCCTGGGCAACAGAGTGAGACCCTGTCTCAATGAATAAATAAATAATGATACCTTCATACAATCAGCTTACTGTCTTTGGCAACTTTGCTGCAAGTAGTTTGTTGGAAGAATGCCAGGAAATAAAATCCTCAAATTAAAGCTGCTTTGTTGTACACAGCACAGAACAGGGACTCCATAAATATTTATCAGGTGATTTTGAGGGTGCTGAGATGGGTGTATGAGTTATACCCGCCTAAAAATTACTAGGCTTCAGATTATTTTAGCCAAGCTATATGGACTGGAATTTGGACCTTATTTGTCTTTTTGTCTCTATGGAGACTCTTGGAGCTGATCAGAGGTACAAACTATTTTCAGGCGCATGCCCTTTTTATGATCCTCATGTCTCAGAGGAGGCTGTCAATCTCTTACTCACGTCAGCTGACAGGTAAGCAGCATGGGCCAGTTAGTGTTCAGCTATACTCCAGGCACTTGTTAGAGAATGAAATATACTCATCTCATGCCAGTGTTTATCAAGAGCTCAACTAAGACCTATAGACCAATGGAATAGAATTGCAAATCTAGAAATAAACCTACATATCTATGGCCAATTGATTTGGACATTGACACGATATCAAGACCATTCATTTGGAAAAAAATAGTTGTTGTCCAAATGGGACAACTGGATATCCACATGCAAAAGAAGAAAGTTGGACATCTACAAATATATCATACATATACACCTACATATACTCCATATATGACATATAAAAAATTAATTCAAAATAGATCAATGACCTAAATGTATGAGCTAAAACTATACAACTCTCAGAAGATAAACTTAAGGCTAAATATGTATGACCTTGGATTAAACAATGATTTCTGGGTCATGATAGCAAAAGAACAAGCAACCAAGGAAAAGACAGATAATTTGACTTCATCATATGAATGTATGAAAAGGTGCTTAACATCATTAGTCATAAGGAAAATGCAAAACAAAACCACACTGAGATACAACTTCACACTCACTGGATGTCTATAATCAAAAAGATGGAAACTTACACTTGTCGAGGATGTAGAAAAATTGGAACCCTCATACATTGCTGGTGGGAATGTAAAATGGGGCAGCTGCTGTGTAAATCAATTTGGCATTCCTCAAAAAGTTAAATACAGGATTACCATATGACCTAGGAATTCCACTCCTATGTATATAACCAAAAAAATTGAAAACGTATGTCCGCACAAAAACTTGTGTACGAATGCTCATAGCAGCATTATTCAGAATAGCGAAAAGGTGCAAATCCAACCTAAGTATCCATTAACTGATGAATAAATGAACGAAATATAATATATCACACATCAGAACATTATTCAGCCATAAAAAGAGATGAAATATTGGTATATGCTACAACATTATTGAAACTTGAAAACATGCTAAGTGAAAAGCTGACAAAAATAATTCTACATATTGTATAATTTCTTTCACGTGAATCCAAAATAGGCAAATCCACAGCAAAATAAAGTAGAATAGTGGTTTCCAGGGGCTGGGTGAGGGGAATAGGCACTGAATGCTAAAAGGCATGGAGTTTCTCTTTGGGCCAATGAAATGTTCTAGAGTCACGTGGTGGTCTTAGTTGCACAGCTTTGTGCATTTGCCAAAAACCATGAAGTAAACACTTTAAAATGGTCAGTGTTATGATATGTTAATGATATCTTAATTTTTTAAAAAAGAGAAAGAAAATAACTATGAAATAATTTAGTAATAGATGATTGAGCTCCACATCATAAGAACTATAATTAGGCCAGGCGTGGTGGCTCATGCCTGTAATTCAGGCACGGGGAAGCCAAGGGAAGAGGATTGCTTGAGCCAAGGAGCTGGAGACATAGAGGGACCATGTCTCTACAAAAAATTTAAAAATTCGCCGGGCATTGGCGGCACATGCCTGTAGTCCCAGCTACTCAGGGGGCTGAGGCAGGAGGATCACTGAGGCAGGAGGAGCCTGGAAGGGTCAAAGCTGTGGTGAGCTGTAATCATGCCACTGCACTCCAGCCTGAGCAACAAAATGAGACCCTGTCTCAAAATATATATATATACTTGTAATTTTACAACCTATAATTAAGGTATACACATGCATAAAGAAATATGAAAGAAGATTTAAATAAAATTGAGATCACACCAAATTTCTGCATACCTTGAAATGGTTCCTAAAAGGCTTCTCCGTATTTGAAGATTTAAGTGTTAATGTTTTTACTATTTGCAATAAATTCTAAATCTTGGATGATGATTAATCTGTAACTTCATTGAGGTAAGCACTTTTTCCAAGGGTACATCTTTATTGTTTTCCCCTCAGTAGGCATAATTACTGTCAAAAATTAAGGTAATACAGAAGGGCCAGGTGTTGTGGTGCATGCCTATAATCTCAGCACTTTGAGAGGTCAACGCAGGAGGATAGCTTGAGCCCAGGAGTTTGAGAGCAGCCTGCACAACATGGCAAAACCTTGTCTCTACAGAAAATTCAAAAATTAGCCAGGCACGGTGGCACATACTTGTAGTCCCAGCTACTCGGGAGGCTGAGGTGGGAGGATGGCTTGAGCCAAGAAGGCGGAGGTTGCGGTGAGCTGTGATCGTGCCACTGCACTCCAGCCTGGATGACAGAGCCAGACCTCGTCTCAAAACAAAAACGAAAACAAACCAAAAAGATTAAAGTAATACAGAAAAGCCCTACTCCTAAATCACTCTAACCTTTGAGATAATCTGGTTTTATATCCTTTCAGTTCTTCCTTTTAAGGCAAGATACGAATTGTGTGCCCTGTGGATGTGGAAGCGTATCACTTACCTGTGAGTGAGACAAGGAAACAGCCACTGTGGAGATGTGAATGCAGCTTTGTTTTATTTTTTGACCATATGCCCAGTAACTCATTAAAAGTTTGAAGTGAGTATTCCTGCACCATTCAAGAATATCCGAATTTATTAAAGTTATGAATAACCGGCCGGGTGTGGTGGCTCATGCCTGTAATCCCAGCACTCTGGGAGGCTAAGGCAGGCGGATCACGAGGTCAGGAGATCGAGACCATCCTGGCCAACATGGTGAAACCCTGACTCTACTAAAAATACAAAAATTAGCTGGGCGTGGTGGCGCGTGCCTGTAGTCCCAGCTACTACAACTCCAGAGGGTGAGGCAGGAGAATCGCTTAAACCCAGGAGGCGGAGGCTGTAGGGCGCCGAGATTGCGCCACTGCCCTCCAGCCTGCGCAATGGGAACGAGACTCCATCTCAAAAAAAAAAGTTATGAATAACTTCATCGATATCATAGTCATAATTCTAGTAGTGAATGCATACTGTACTAAATGTTTCCTAGGTAGCACAGCCCATGCTGACTGTTCTGCATACTCAGGATAATGGAATCCTCCCAACAATCAGTCTTTTACAGATGGGGAAACTGAGAATTAGATGGGCTAAGTAACTTGCCCAGGACCAAAAAGATGGCAGAGCTAGGATCTGAACCCAGATGTGGTTGATCACAGAGTCTAAACTCTGAACAACTATACTTCTTAGAATATCATAGATCTACTCCATGTGACAAAATATCCACACAAGTTGATGGGGGAAGGAATAAATTGCATAACAAATGGGCCTGACTCCATATTATATCACAAAATTATTTCTAGCTATTAATAAGTATAAAAAGTGAAAGGAAACCATTAAAAATAGAATATAAATTGTATCTTAATTTATAAAAGAAAATAATTTTTTAAAAATAGAAAATATAGGTAACTATTTAACTGATTTGGGGGCGTAAGGGAATTATCAATAAATTTACTGATTTGGGGGCTTAAGGAAATTATCAAAAATTTACATCGTATAGATTATAGGTAAAATTATCACCAGCAAAATTAAAAGACAAACTACAAAGAAGGAAAAAGATTTGCTACTAATATGACCGAAAAAGTACTAGTATCCCTAATACATAAAAATCTTTTATTCAACAGTAGGAAAAATGGTGACATCTCAATAACAAAATGGCAAAGGACATGAATACAGAATTTACGGAAGAGGAAACATAAAGGACTAATAAATTACTAAAAAATACAAATTAAAATAACAAAGGGCTGTCATCTTTTGCCGTTATTATTAAGGGTGATAAGAATGATGATATGAGTATCTGCCGGATGTGGAAAATGGTGACATTCATAGACTTTAGTACAAAGGATTGGTAGAGCCTTTCTGGAGAGCAATTTGGCAATATGTATCAACATTCATAGAGTGCCTTCACCACTTGATGTAGTAATTCCCTTTCCAGAAGTCTATCTAAAGGAAAGAATTAGCAGGGTGGCAAAGATATCTCTATAATAAAAAGATTATAAATAAAAGTTTAATAAAAGGGAATATACTTCCACTATTAAAAATCATATTTCTGAGGCCGGGTGCAGTGGCTCACCCCTGAATCCTGGCATTTTGGGAGGCTGAGGCAGGAGACTTGCTTGAGCCCAGGAGTTTGAGACCAGCCTGAGCAACGTAGTGAGACCTCTGTCTCTATAAAAAAATAAGTTAAAGACATCATATTTCTATACAAAGATGATCATTATAGCATTATTAATAATCCCTTAATTTTGAGAGGAAATTGCTGAATTCAATTATAGGAGAATTATTGAATAGAATATAGTACATTCAAATGAAAGAATATTATAACTTGGTCCTGCTTTCAAGGAAGTTTTAACACCATTGGGAAATTCTAATATGTTAAGGGAAAGAGAAGATAGGCCAGGTGCAGTGGCTCACGCCTTTAATCTCAGCACTTTGGGAGGCCAAGGCGAGTAGATCGCTTGAGCTCAGGAGTTCAAGACTAGCCTGGCTAACATGGTGAAACACTGCCTCTACTAAAAAATACAAAAAATTAGCTGAGCGCGGTGGGCCTGTAGTCCCAGCTACTCCAGAGGCTGAGATGGGAGAACTGCTTGAGCCTAGGAGGCGGAGGTTGGAGGGAGCCATGATCGCACCACTGTACTCCAGCCTGGGCAACAAAGCAAGATTTTGTCTCGAGGAAAAAAAAAAAAAGGAAAAGGAAAAACAGAAGATAGGAATTATTTAATATGTATCTTGTCTTTACCTTTGGGTCATGAGAATATTATTTTGTCATGCTTGCATATTTTGGGTTATATTTTTTACTTGGTTGTAACTAATATTTTATCTATAATGAGCAATTTATTCAATTCACCTGTGTATAATCATCCTGTTTACTTACTCATTTATTTGCTTATTTACCAATTTATCCACTTAATAATTTGTTTATAGAGACTGGGCTTGAATTCAGGTTCTGGCAGATAATATTTGGGCAAATTACCAATCTTCCCTAGTCTCTGTTTTCTTGTCTATAAATGAGAAGAAATACATCTACTCTGCATGAGTAAATGAGGTAATGTATATAAATACTCAGCATGATAACTCACTCCTAAAAGCTGCTCAAGAAATAGCAATTGATATTATTTCATTATTGTTATTTTTTAAGTAGATGCAAAGAAATAGTGGGGAACCAAAAATGTGTGGGCAAAGACCTTCACATTCTCCCAGTCAAGGGAGTTATTGAAATTATAATTTTAAAACAAGAACTGTAAAATATATTACATTTTTGGAACTTAAAGGGAATGTAAATGTCAATGTAAATCAAGGGTCAAACATTGAAAAAATATAACCTTAGAAATAATGCAGTGCACTGAGTAACCCCAGGACATTCTCCAGTGTTGCTTCACAACTATGCCATTGCCACCTAGTGGAATTAGTAATGCATTATATAGCCCAGAAAATTTGAGATTTTATTTTGAAGTATTAAATGGTTTATATAGAAAGGCCAAATTACACAAATATTCTCCTATATGTCCCCATCATCTCCTTTGGACTACTGAAATACTCATCTAACTAGTCTTTCATCTTACATCAGAGCCCCAACCCATTCTCCTACACAGAACAGGCAGAGTAAGCTTTCTAAGATATAAATCAGATCATGTTACTTACACAGATTGAAAATGCAAAACACCTTGCATGGCGTGGAAGCTCTCCAGCTTCATCTGTCCCAGCCTTGCTGATTACGAGTCCCAGTGACCATCTTTCCAGTAAGAATTTTCTGCCTCAAGGCTCCCAAATATACAGGGTTTTTTGTTTGTTTGTTTGTTTTTTGACAGAGTCTTGCTCTGCCGCCCAGGCTGGAGTGCAGTGGCATGATCTCGGCTCACTGCAACCTCTGCCACCCAGGTTCAAGCGATTCTCTTGCCTCAGCCTCCCAAGTAGCTGGGATTACAGGCACCCGCCATCACGCCCGGCTAATTTTTGTATTTTTAGTAGAGACGGGGTTTCACCATGTTGGCCAGGTTGGTTTCGAACTCCTGACCTCAGGTGATCTGCCCGCCTCGACCTCCCAAAGTGCTGAGATTACAGGCGTGAGCCACTACACCTGGCCCCAAATATACAGTTCTCTCTGCCTAGAATGTTCTTCCTCAGCTTTTTACATGCCAAATTCGTCATCCTTCAAGACCAAACTTATTTCCCTCAAACAGATCTTTCCGCAACTACATTATGTACCTCTATTATTTTCTCTCATAGTATTTTGTTCTTTTCCTTTACGACATTTCATCACAAATTATGCTCAGGTATTTTTTCCTGTTTGGTTAATACCTGTTTCCCCCTTCAAACTGTATGCACCATGTTTAACAATGTATATGTCAAAGCTTAGTACTGTGTAGTACAATAGTATGTGTGCATTAAGGAATCTATATAATGGAATGCCATTTAGTCACCAAAAATAGTGTGTTCGATGGGTATTACTGACATAGAATGTTGTACATGATATAACTTTAAGTGAAAAAAGTAGGTTTTATGGTAATACAATCATTTTTGTTTTTAAAATATGAATATATACTACATACATATTTACCATATATTCCAAATATATGTGTTTAAAAATCTGTGAGGTGTTACCATGGTTATTTAAGTTAACAAAATGTGAGTGTAGTTAGTTTTCTTTCTTTCTTTCTTTTCTTTTTTTTTTTTTTGAGATGGAGTCTTACTCTGTTGCCCAGGCTGGAGTGTGCAATGGTCTGACCTCGGCTCACTGCAACCTCCACCTCTTGGGTTCAAGCAATTCTCCTGCCTCAGCCTCCCAAGTATCTGAGACTACAGGTGTGCACCATCACGCCTGGCTAATTTTTGTACTTTTGGTAGAGATGGGGTTTCACCTTGTTGGCCAGGCTGGTCTTGAACTCCCGACCTCAAGTGATCCGCCTGCCTTGGCCTCCCAAAGTGCTGGGATTACAGGCGTGAGACACTGTACCCAACCAATTTTCTTATTTTTGCTTATCTTTTAAAATACTAATTATTTATCACCATTGTTGATATAATAGTTGAAGTTGAGATCTAATGGGATCATATCCTATATGGGACTGAGAAAGTTAGTTAGTATGACTAGTTAGCAGTAAACATTGCATTCAGGATGACTACTAACATTAGTGAGGTCTGAGGCAAGAGGACAAATGGAAGACTCTGCTCCCATTCTCTTCCCACTCCTCGCCCCAGCCCACACTAGGAGGGGCTGCTCACGCTTACCTGTGGACACCTGAGCCCACAAGGGCAAGCTCCAGCCACATCTCCTGCTACAATCACAGCCAGTATCCATCCTTAGGAAGAAGTATCTGGAGAAGAAACTCATACAGGCCTTGTCTTGGGAGGGAGTTCTAGGGTACTAGGATTCTGGAGAGTGGTATTAGGCTTAGGGTGGGCCTGTCCCCTTAATCCCATGGTGGACTCCTTGCCCCATGGAAGAGGACCAGAGAGAGGAGGGCAAGAGCAGGGAGCCTGGTGTTCAGGATCTAAAGATTGTACTGATTGCATCTAATCAAAATTAACTCTGAAAAATCTCTTAAATCATCCATAAAGTACAATACTGTACATATGTGTTTTATGTATGCAGCCCTATATTATTATTTTTAATTTTTCCTTGTCCATATTTCCCTATGGCTCTCAATTAATTTAATTTCATCTTCCATGATGTTGGAATCAACACCCACTTACCTGGTTACTTGAACAATGTTTCCTTCTATATCCATGGTGAGTAAACCCTTAAAAGCATTCAGATTTTCTTGATAGATTGGCTTTTAGGCTTGATGACATCTATTGCTCTCATAAGTTAATACATCTATAAGATGACTCCTTGTATATTTTGGAAAATGGCAAGACTCAAAATGACAAGTTGAAAGAAAGGGAAATTTAATGATTCTAGGTTACCAGCTTGAACAACTGGTTTAACAGTGTTACTATTTACTGAGATATGAAAGGTTAGAGGAAGAAGCGGTTTAGATGTATTATAATTCATTCACCTGATTCTCTATTGTTGGGTATTCAGGTTGGCTGCAATATTTTATAACAAGGAACAATAGTCTGATTTGCAGCAAAATCTTTTCACATGTCCTTAATTTCTAAACACAGAATTGCTGGATAAAAATGTGCACATTCTTGAGATTTTATTTTATTTTATTTTATGAGACCGAGCCTCGCTCTGTTGCCCAGGCTGGAGTGCAATGGGGCAATCTCGGCTCACTGCAACCTTCATCTCCTGGGTTTAAGTGATTCTCCCTGCCTCAGCCTCCTGGACCAGCTGGGATTACAGACATGTGCCACCATACCCGCCTAATTTTTGTATTTTTAGTAGAGACAGGGTTTCACCATGTTGGTCAGGCTGATCTCGAACTCCTGACCTCAGGTGATCCGCCCACCCGACCTCAGGTGATCCGCCCACCCTGGCCTCCCAAAGTGTTGAGATTACAGGCGTGAGCCACCACGCCTGGCCCATTCTTGAGATTTTTAATACACGTTTCCAAATGACTTTCAAAAGAGCTGTTTCCTCACACTGTTAACATAAGAGTAGATTTCAAACACTCAAATTCTGTCTCCCTCCCTCTTTCCTTCCGTCCCAGTTTTCCTTTGTTCATTCAATAAGTACCTACTATGTCCCACACAGGGCCTGACATAAATCTAACTTTGCTCCTTGCTAGGGGTTAGGAGATGATCGGGGAGAAGGAAGTGTAATGGAGAACTCTAGAGTTTTTAACATGAGTGACTTGGATATTCTACCCACAAACTTGTTTGATTCTGGACACCAGACAAGATAAGCTAAAATTCCCTCTTTATTTAAATTGGTGGTGCCACTGAGAGTTTGTAAGAAAAAATGTTCAACTTCACGCAAACCAGAAGTAGGACACTGAAAATAGGCTTTGCCCCCAGGGAATTATAATTTAGTGGGTACCATTTTACAATGCAAATTTGGCCCTCTAATTAGCCAAATGGCCACAGCAATTCTCCAGCATATGAGGTAGGTCTGTCCTATCCAGGGATCTGTCTCATGGCCGCTGATAAAGGATGGGGCTGGGCACAGTGGCTCACACCTGTAATCCCAGCACTTTGGGAGGCTGAAGGGACAGATCACCAGTTTAAGAGATCAAGACCATCCTGGCCAACATGGTGAAACCCCGTCTCTACTAAAAATACAAAAATTAGCTAGGTGTGGTGGCACGCGCCTGTAGTTCCAGCTACTCAGGAGGCTGAGGCAGGAGAATTGCTTGAACCCGGGATGCAGAGGTTGCAGTGAGCCGAGATGGTGCCACTTCACTCCAGCCTGGCTACAGAGTAAGACTCTGTCTCAAAAAAAAAAAAAAAAAAAAAAAAAAGGATGGAGCAGGAGGCCCAAGGTCAGGGCAGGAGTCCTGCATCATGAGATCATGAGGGCCCCTTTCTGTGCAGTACAGAGGGACCAGCTTCCACCCTGCTGATTTAAGGGGAAATTTCTAACTACTTGGCTTGAGTACCTAAGTTGCTAGATGTAACTCTGACCTTGAGGATAAAAAGGAAGTTGGTGGACTTCCTTATTGTCATCACTCAGGTAGGAGAGTCCAACCTAACGCTGTCACCTCTCTCAACTGGCACTCAGTGAAACACTTGAGTATGCTCAGTACTGTAGTCACTTCTACCAGAGGTCCGAACTTACTGGAAAAGTTAGGCCTGTGCAAGACTGAAAAATACTGACAATGCACCAGTGTGCTGAAGGAATTCAAAGCAGATTCCTGGCTGGGCGCGGTGGCTCACGCCTGTAATCCCAGCACTTTGGGAGGCCGAGGCGGGTGGATCAAGAGGTCAGGAGATTGAGACTATCCTGGCTAACACGGTGAAACCCCGCCTCTACTAAAAATACAAAAAATTAGCCGGGCGCCGTGGTAGGCACCTGTAGTCCCAGCTACTCGGGAGGCTGAGGCAGGAGAATGGCGTGAACCCAGGAAGCGGAGCTTGCAGTGAGCCGAGATCGCGCCACTGCACTCTGCCTACCTGGGCGACAGATGGAAACTCTGTCTCAAAAAAAAAAAAAAAAAAAAGAGATTTCTGAAGTCTTGTGAACCTAATGCAAGATTGGATTATGAGTGTCGCTGCTCTATTCTCTGAATGTGGGTTACTATATAAACTCCTGTAATCCAGAACTCTTTTAATGACGGTGGCTCTAATGCTTAGTTGAATAACTTGCCAGAGGCTCTCTGACCTCTAGTAATATAACTTAAGTTTCTGAGTCATTGTGATCTCAACTTTAAAATGGGAACCACTCTCTGTCTCATGATTCTTACAAGGATTTAAAGATAATGCCTAGAAAGCCCTTAGCACAGTGGCTTTTGCTTACTAGGCAAAAGGAGAAAAAGTGTTCAGTAAATGATAGCTGTTCCAGGAGCAATGTATGCCATTCCAGCACATCTAATTCATAAAATATTAATGCATTCCATTTATCACATCATATATTTGAAAACCAGAGGAACCACTTCCAGGTATTGTTTTATAAGGAAAATAAATAATTTTAAGGTGAAATAGTTTTTAAAACGCTTAACACCTGCCTTTTAAAAATATATGATACGGTTAAACCTATGGAACTCTGGATATTTGTTACTTTATTCAACATTTTCTGAATTGTTTTTATTTATCAAAATTATGCTATATATCTGTGTCTTTCTGAATGGACTCTTGCAGTGCTTAACTCAGTAGGACATCAAAGCAACACAACAGCACGTCTATCTAGACCATCCTTTTTTTTTTTTTTTTTTTTTTTTTTTTGAGATGGAGTTTCACTCTTGTTGCCCAGGCTGGAGTGCAATGGTGCGATCTCAGCTCACTGCAACCTCCGCCTCCCGGGTTCAAGTGATTCTCCTGCCTTAGCCTCCCGAGTAGCTGTGATTACAGGCATGTGTCACCACGCCCGGCTAATTTTGTATTTTTAGTAGAGAGGGGGTTTCTGCCTGTTGGTCAGGCTGGTCTTGAACTCCCAACCTCAGGTGATCTGCCCATTTCAGCCTCCGAAAGTGCTGAGATTACAGGCGTGAGCCACCATACCCGGCCTAGAACATCCATTTTGGATAAGCTTGGCACTGACTCATAATCAGCTCAACTTTCTGGCACATTTTTAATTTGAAAGAAAAGAAAGAGATATATTAAAAAGGGATGCATGATTCTCAGTGAAAGAAAAGAGTCTTTGTAACTCTCCCTTTTACCTCACCATGCACATGTCTCCGGGACAAAGGAAAGAGTGTTTGTAACTTTAATTTCCCATGCCCAAGAGAACGCCGACATTTTGTAAATAAAAAAAGTCACCAATTTTCCTGACTTTTATTTAATCAAGTGTTTTCACTGCCTTGGTCTTTCTAGAACTCTAACAAGAAGTAAAATAGGACATTTGGCCTCTTTCCTCTGTTCCTGCCAAAACCTTGGGGTGATGCAAGGCAATAGGGCGCATTCTGCTAGGGTCAGGGTCGGGGATCCTGGATGGGGAGGGCTTGGAGACCATGCATTTGTTCTGAATAATGGCAGACAAAAGAGAACTCTAATCAAATGCTTCCTCTAATCAAATGCTCGAAGAACTGCTGAACGGCATAGGCACTTGCTGTTCCAGAAGACAGGGCAAGGAGCACTGCATGGGAGGTAGGAAGCAACAGATTTTGCTCTCAACTCTCAGAGCAGGCAGCATGGAAACATATTGCCTTCTTTTTTTTTTTTTTTTTTTTTTTGAGACAGAGTTTCACTATTATGGCCCAGGCTGGAGTGCAATGGTGCAACCTCGGCTCACTGCTACCTCTGACTCCCGGGTTCAAGTGATTCTCCTGTCTCAGCCTCCAGAGTAGCTGGATTACAGGCACATGCCACCATGCCCGGCTAATTTTTGTATTTTTAGTAGAGATGAGGTTTCATCATATTGGTCAGGCTGGTCTCGAACTCCTGACCTCAGGTGATCCACCCACCTCGGCCTCCCAAAGTGGTATTATTACAGGCGTGGGCCACCGCGCCCAGCTAGAAATACATGGCCTTCTAAGAGAACTTCTGAACTAGGTAGAAGGTAGAAATTACTAAATTAATTTGTATTAATAATTAACAGTTGGCTATACCTGTAAGTTGGGAGTTCCAAAGCAAATAAGAGGCTTCTCGGAATATAGATGTTCAAACCTTCTAATTCTCAGATTGCAACATATGGTCTTTCCAAAGACTGGTTTTCCTTTTCCTGTCTTGTGTATGTCTTGAAAGATACTCTCTTTATAAAACTACAATGAAGGCACAATCTCCTTTCTTATCCTGTGAGCTTATTAAACACAGATAAAATTTACTTTGAACATACTTTAAAATCCTTCAAGTACAAATACAGCAGGGTAATATTTCAGGATCATCATTATCTCCCCATATCAGGCACCAGCTTTGTCTTGCAGCCACATTTGAGCAGGCATTTATATTAGTGCTGTTCTGTGCTACAGCTTTGCAAACTCGCATTTTTTTCTATAACCATATGTCTCTATGCTAACTCTAGCGTTCTTCAGCTTGTAAATCTTTTTCTTTTGTGTCTTTTCAAACTTTTGTCACTTGGCTCTATTTTGATTGTCAAGTTCACTGCCAAATTTTGTTCAGTTACAATCTGCCAACATCTTGGCATTTCCAGGATGTTACATTAAGAGTAGATGAGTGCAAACAGAGCAAACTACATGCAATGAAGACTGTCCCCAAAAATGTTGTCCCTCTAAGTCAAAGATTAACTTTTACCTAAATTTTTGAGAGTAAGGTCCTTTAGGCTGTTGACTTGGCCAATGAGCAAGAATCCACAGTCTGTTAGACAATATCTGCTAATAAGAAAGTCACATTTCAGCACGAGTGGCTAAGAGATTCTCTCCTGATTTGGGGGCAGGCCAGTCAGGCACAAGCTGCTTATCTGTGCAACTGGGGCAGCTTAACCCATAGGCCAGGAAGGCCTGGCTTTGGGAATCATTTCAGGGTTGTGGCCCACATCTAGTGGTGAGCAAATATTGACAGAACTGGGGTCCTCTTGGAACAACAGGGGAGTGGGAAGGGTGGGGGCTAGTTAATGACTGTCAGACTCCATACCCAAAACAGCTCAAAATCTTTACAAAGACATCAAGACAGAAAATCTGTAAGCTAAGAAGTGTGATTTTATTTAATTAACCTGTTCCAGAGGTAAGCCCCATAGGACAACACTGAACAGCATGATCTAATGGCCAATTACTACTGTTGCAGTGTGAACTGAAGGCTGTGAGCTTCCTGGTCTTTTAAAAATTATTTACTTCTAATTATCTTTTTCTTTCTTTCTTTTTTTTTTTTTTTTTTTTTGAGACGGAGTTTTGCTCTTGTTGCCCAGGCTGGAGTGCAATGGCGCAATCTCGGCTCGCTGCAACCTCCGCTTCCCAGGTTCAAGAGATTCTCCTGCCTCAGCCTCCAGAGTAGCTGGGATTACAGGCATGCACCACTACACCCGACTAATTTTTTGTATTTTTAGTAGAGATGGAGTTTCACCATGGCCAGGCTGGTCTTGAACTCCTGACCTCAGGTGATCCGCCCGCCTCGGCCTCCCAGAGTACTGGGATTACAGGCGTGAGCCACCGCACCCAGCCTATTATCATTATTTTTAGAGACAGAGTCTCATTCTGTTGGCTAGACTGGACTGTAGTGGTACAATCATAGTTCACTGTAGCCTCAAACTCCTGGGCTCAAGCAAAACTCCTGCCTCAGTCCTCTGAGTAGCTGGGACTATAGGCACATGCCACCATACCTGGCTAATTAAATTGTTTTTTTTTTTTTTTTTTTTGTAGGGATGAGATCTTGCTATGTTGCCCAGGCTGGTCTCAAACTCCTGACTACAAATGATCCTCCAGCTTCAGCCTCCTGAGTAGCTGGGATTACAGGTATAAGCCACCATGCCTGGCTGCTTCCTGGCCTTCTGATGGCTCACTGATATCAAGGGCAAGATAGAAAAAGAATGGAAAGGACTAGCATTTATTAAGAATCTGCTGTGTGTTGGGCACTGGTTTCAGGATATAATCACACTTTTCACTCAGTCTTCAAGAGAAGGCATTATTAGCTCCTTTTGCCAGGTAAAGAAAGAGAAGTTAAGGAACTTGGCAAGGTGATGGGGTGGGCAAGATCCAAACTCAAGTCCATCAGATTCCAAATTCCATGCTTTTCCACCAGACCATGATAAGTGCATAAAGACATGCATGGTATGGCTGAAGACCAAGCAGGAGGGAGGAGGGTGAAACAAGGTTTCTTTATCCTTCTTCCATGAGGGAAGGTCCTGATCATGTGTACGACCACAAAGTGAGCATCTTACCCTGTTGTGAAAGGCAACATGGTAATGTATCCATTATCACTTATTATTTTAAAAGCATGTGAAATTATGCAGAAAACAATGAATTGGTTTATTTCATGCCTCAGGTTCTAGGAACCAGTGCTCAGTGTTTGGCCCCAGTAAGGACACCGATGGGATTTTCTGGGGTCTGTGTGAGGGGAATGCTGTGTGTGAGTCCCTGTTAGGACAAGGAGAGGAGGCAGTGCAGCAGCTCACACATAAAAGGCACAGAAATTCAGCTCTGTTAAATATCTACATTAAAACTAAAACCAAAACCAAAACCTTTTACAGCACACAGGTCAAATGTAATTACCAGAATGCTAAGTTACTTTCCAAAGGGACTGGGACTTTTTGTGTTTAATCTGCATGAAATTCTCAATTAATAGATATAATCTTAGGCCTTTTGACTCAGTTTTGACCACTGTCAGATAAATAGGAGGTTCTATACTTTGTGCATGGATAGTCAAGTGGGACAAACAACCTGATAAAAAGCAAATCTTAAATTTAAACTATTCTGTGGTTATTCACCACCTACAGGATAAAATCTAACCTTCTTGGCAGGTGGGTGAGACGTGGCCTGACTCCTTGGCCTCATCTCTTATCATTTCCAGCCTCACACTTTATAAGAACATATTATTTGGAGGTTACTGCTTTCCAAGTGCATATGCCGCAAATGCTATTTCACACCTTTATGCCTTAGCACACACCAGTCTCTTTTCTGGGAACTTCAGATCTGGCGATGTCTGTGGAGGATTTGGAAGATCACACTTTTCCCCTAGGCCTCAATTTATTCCTTGACCCACCCCAATGGAATGAATTGTTGCCCCCACCCCCAACTACTGTGACACATTATACACACTTCTATTGCTACACTGACCACACCTATCCCCTCTCCATCCCTCAACTGTGAGCCTCCCTGAGAGGAATACTGGCATATAGTAGGTGCTCAGGAAAGTAGAAGAACCAATTTTTCTCTAAGATATCATGGTACTTTTTTTTTTTTTTATCTTGCCTGGAGTCTTTGATGTCAGATAAGAATTAGCTTCTTCTTATTTCCATAAAACAATAACAGAGAACAAATTCCCTAGTCAAAAAGTTCAGTAGGCTGGGTGCGGTGGCTCATGCCTGTAATCCCGGCACTTTGGGAGGCCAAGATGGGTGGATCTTTTGAGGTCAGGAGTTCTAGACCAGCCTGGCCAACATGGTGAAACCTCTACTAAAAATATAAAAACTAGCTGGGCATGGTGGTGGGCACCTATAGTCTCAGCTACTTGGGAGGCTGACGTAGGAGAATCGCTGGAACCCGGGAGGTGGAGGTTGCAGCGAGCCGACATCACGCCACTGCACTTCAACCTGGGCGACAGAGCAAGATACTATCTCAAAAAAAAAAAAAAAAAAAAAAATTCAGTCAATCCTTTCAGAGAATATCCAAAAGTTGATCTTTTTTCAAATGAACGTAAAACGGGAACATTCATTCTAAGAAACATGTAAGATAATCGAAGGACAATATTCTTCAAGTATATATTGTTTCTACCTGAAAGCTAGTGAAAAGAGGATACACATATAAAAGTTAGTGTCCCATATCTGGGGCTTTTGGTATGTTAATTACCGCTGTTAGAATGCAAACACTAAATGCCTTTAGTATTGGAGGCCCCATTAGAGAAAACACCTGTGTAGTTTCAGGGGTTGTTAATTGTCACTCTCAACCAGCAGGTGTCGCTAGAGACAAGCACATGTACTATGGCTGCCCTCTCAAGGACGACCACCCCAAAATCCTGCTCCAGCTGGAACTCCTGCCTCCCTCTAAGGTTCCGTCCCTCCGTGGAAACTTCAGCTGGAACAGCATGCGTGTCCATAGTTAGCAAAGTTTATTATACAGCAGAATCCTCTGGACTGGGTTGGGGTTTGTTAAAATGCAGATTTCTGTCTGCTGGCTGCAGAGATTCTGATTCAGCAGGTAGAAGTGAGACCCTGAGTAATTTCTGTTTTAAACGCTGCCTTTTTTACCTTCCTTGCACCCCCTATTGTGATGCCTTTTGAGAAACACTGATTTCTCAAAACTGTGGGCTTTGAGAAATCTTTGAACTGTGGGCTGTTCAAAATCACCTACTCAGAAACAATCAGGCTGCCAAAGGATTCATTTGTTGATTCACTCAATAAACCTCTATTGTGCCCTTAATAACTTCCCAGTTACCCTTGGCTACCTTCACAAAGTTGTGCAGCTCATCCTCCTATCTCAGGCTTGGGATCAACCATAGAACCCAGTAAAGTCTTGACCTTTCCTTTCTTATGTTTGATGGGTGAGTATCCCACCAAAGAACCTGGCTTCCACTCTGAGAGGAAAAAAAAATCTCCTTTTCTCATCAAGAGCATTCATATATTTACAGAAACTCTGCCAATAAACAGATCCCTAATGGTTAGTTTATGGGACATAAACATTCCAAAGTGGTGAAAATGCATCTTATTCCTATGGTTTTTTTTTCTTTTTTGTTCTAGCAGGGTCTCGCCATGTTGCCCAGGCTGGAGTGCAGTGGCTATTCACAGGTGTGTTCATCACGTACTACAGCCTAGAACTCCTGGGCTCAAGAGATCTTCCTGCCTTAGCCTTTTGAGTAGCTGGCACTGCAGTTGTGCACCACGGTGCCCAGACTACTATGATTTTAAACACAGATAAAAATAATAAATCTATTACTATCTAAAAATTAAAATGCTGCTATGTTTTACGGCAATATTAACTTTGTAAATCCAAGATAAATAAAAATTCTAGTCGTAAAAAAAGGGATAAATTAGATTGCTACAAATAAATTACAACAAAAATTTCATTAGAAACTTAAAATTGCTATAACATGTTTACCCAGGGGGTGCTGAGGGAGCATGCATTCTTAGGAACTTTAATGAAAATCATCGATCCAAATGCAGACTACAGCTAAAAAACACTAACTGTCGGCTGGGCGTGGTGGCTCACGCCTATAATCCCAGCACTTTGGGAGGCCGAGGCGGGCGGATCACGAGATCAGGAGATAGAGACCATCCTGGCTAACACAGTGAAACCCCATCTCTACTACAAAAAATTAGCCAGGCATGGTGGGCGTGCCTGTAATCCCAGCTACTTGGGAGGCTGAGGCAGGAAAATTGCTCGAACCCGGGAGGCAGAGGTTGCAGTGAGCCAAGATCGTGCCACTGCACTCCAGCCTGGGCGACAGAGCAAGACTCTGTCTCAAAAAAACAAAAATACAAAAAAAAAAAAAACCAAACACTAACTGTCCAGCGAAAGCTTAGCATGCCCTGAGTCCATCTATTTTTTTTTTTAACTTTCTGACTCTTAGAAAAATGTTTGCACTGGAATAGACTTTAAAGGTCATTGAATTAGCCTTTCACTCTGTGCTCAATACTGCTTTACAACATCCCAGCTGCAAAAGTACCACCCAGCCTCTACACACATTCCTTCGTAGTCAGGGGGATCACGTCTTCTCCTGGGGTTAAGTCCATCTTGGTAGTGTTCCAGTTTTTAGGAAGTCTTCCTCACATTCTGTCTGATAGGCAGGAAAAGCCAGTGACTCCACTAGGTGGCCTTTCCCCTCCTAGGACTTAGCATAGTGCCTGGATTAGGACTGCATCTCAGCTGCATTTAACAGAAACCTATTATAGTGGCTTAAACAAGAAAGGGATTCATTCTTCTCATGTAACAGTAAGCCCAGAAGACATCAAGCCCAACTGTGGAGAAATCAGGCAAGAATGCTTTCTGGGAACCAGGCTCCTTCTATCTTTTGGTTCTGCCATCTTTGGTCTGTGGTTCTGTTGGTGTTTGTAATATGTCTTTTGTTCTTTCAAGTAGGATCACATCTGCATTCCAGACAGGCCAGAGAAGGGGAAAACCAGGAAGATGGGCGGCACCTATATTGGGAAGGCGAAATTTTCTTGGAAATTGCCAGTATTCTTCAGCTTATATCTCATTGGGCAGAACTATGTCATACGACCACTTCAAGCTTCAGGGAAGTATGGAAAGGTGAGTATTTTAGTAAGGCATTTTGCTAACCAGAATGATATCTGGGTTATATTCATGAAAAAGATGGGCAGAAGAGCAATAGCAGGGCAATCAGCACTCACTGCCACAGCCTGATAGTAATAGGTGATTAACATATGTTAATTGACTGATGAAACAGAAGTCTCTTTTTCCAACCATTAGAACCCTTTAGGGGCTCAGGACATGACTATAGACACCATTTTTTCTACAACATCCCTTTAGATATTTGAATATAGTAATCATTGCTTTTCCCTTTCTCTACCCCAAGATGTCTCTTTTCCCAGTAGATATCTTCTCTAGGCTTGTCTCTGAAAACACTCTCATTCATTTATATTCCAGGTGTGGATTGACCTATAAAAAGTAATGCAGAGTAGGCAGGGCGTGGTGACTCATGCCTGTAATCCTAGAACTTTGGGAGGCCGAGGCGGGTGGATCATCTGAGGCAGGAGTTCGAGATCAGCCTGGCCAACATGGTGAAAACCGGTCTCTACTAAAAATACAAAAAAATTAGCCGGGCGTGGTGGCAGGTGTCTGTAATCCTAGCTACTCGGGAGGCTGAGGCAGGAGAATCGCTAGAACCCAGGGGGCGGAGGTTGCAGTGAGCTGAGATGGCGCCACTGCACTCCAGCCTGGGTGACAGAGTGAGACTCCATCTCAAAAAAAAAAAGTAATGCAGTCATTTCCTTTCTCCTGCTGTATATCATGTGGTCGCTATTATCAAATAGCTACCACAAAAGCACATATTGTGCCCAGACCTTGGTTTCCAAATACCAGTTTCCATTAAAAGGAACTAGGGCTCACTTGAAGACTTGGCTGATTACAGAGTTGAAACCAGGAAAGCATAAGATGAGCTTGGAACATCTGGTTGCGTCAGTGAATAAGGAAGTACTCAAAGAATGATGGGGACAGATCAAAAGTACAGGAGCCAGCTTGAATGGGCTCCCATTGGCTAAATCTGAGACAATGTGGGCATAAAAATAAATGAGGATAACAGAAAAAAGTAACAATCTGGGATTTGATATTTATTTATTTGATGAATAATCAATATTTATTCAACAAATAAATATGTATTTGATGACTAATTAAAACGTTATTTAACATATATATTATTTGATGAATAAATATTTATTTGATGAAAAACTAAGTGGGTGAGAAGAGATTTTCCTTACAGTAGAACACCAGCTAATAAATATAGGAAGAATGATGAAATTAGAAAATCATCATTATATGAAAACACCAGTAATAGCTGTTTCAGAGAAGAATGTGAATAGATAATGTGAAAAGTTGATGAGAAATAGGACTTTTACATAGTCTCAAAATATGTCTCCACAAGATACTTATTAATTACAAAGGGAGAAACAGTACATTTACATTGGAGAGACCAGGAAGATCCACCTTAGCCAAATGATCAAAGTTAGCACACAGTAATGGGACAAACGAGATCATGTGCCTCCTGATATGATGCACTGAGAAGGACACAGTTATGCCTTCTGTGGTATTCCTGCCAAAAAGGCATACCTTGGATCTAATCATGAGGAAGCTTTAGACAAACCGAAATTGAAGGTCATTCTAGAAAATAAATGGCCTGACTCTTCAAATACATCAAGGTCATGAATGACAACAAAAGACTGTGCAATTGCTCCAAGTTAAAAGAGATTAAAGAGACATGAAAATGAAATGCAATGTGTGATCCTAGATTGGATTGTTGACCAGAAAAAAAAAAAGCTTTTTTCCATAAAGAACATTAGTGGGACAACTGTTAAAATTTAAAGAAGGTCTGTAAAATGCACACGCACACACACACACACACACACACACACACATACACAGAGAGAGACCAAGAGAGATGGAGACAGAGAGAAATGGAGACAGAGCAAGAGAGAGGGAGGGAGAGGTAGGAAAAGGGAAGCAGGGGAAGGGGAAGGAGAAGGGAAGAAGGATAGAGGAGTGGAAATGAGGAGAAAAAGCAAATGCATTAAAATACTAACATTTAGGGAATGTAGATGAAGGGTATATATAAAAATTCTTTGAACTATTCTTCTAACTTTTCTGTATGTCTTTATTTTTATTCTGGTAAAATATATATAACATAAAATTTACCATTTTAACCATTTTAAAGTGTACAATTCAGTGGTATTTAGTTCATCCACAAAGTTTTGCACCCATCACCACTATACAGTTCCAGAATATTTTCATTACCCAAAAAGGAAACCGTATTTCCAATAAGCAGTAATTCCCAATTTCCCCAGTGCCTGATAAGCATGAATGTGCTTTCTGTTTCTATGGATTTTGCCTATTTTAGATATTTCATATACATGGAATCATACAATATGTGGCCATTTGTGTCTGGCTTTTTCCCCTTAGCATCATGTTTTCAAGGTTCATCCATGTTGTTGCATGTATGAGTACCTCATTTCTTTTTACAGCTGAGTAGTATTTTGTTGTATGGATATACAACATTTTGCTTATCATTCATCAGCTGATGGACATTAGTTATTTCTACTTTTTGGTTATCGTGAATAATGCTACTATGAACATTTGTGAGCAAGTTTTTCTTTGAACACCTGTTTTCAATCATTTGGGATATATACCTGCATCCCATGGTAATTCTATGTTTAACTTATCGAGAAACTGCCAAACTGTTTTCCAAGTGGTGGCACCATTTTACATTCTCACCAGCAATGTATGAGTGTTCTCGTCAACACTTCTTATTGTCTATTTGTTTGAGTATAGTCATTCTAGTGGGTTTGAAGTGGTATCTCCTTGTGGTTTTGATTTGCAATTCCCTAATGACATTGAGCATCTCTTTATGTGCTTCATGGCCATTTTTAAACTTCTTTGAAGAAATAGCTCTTCAAGTCCTTTGCTCGTTATGGGTTGTTTATTTTTTTGTTGTTAAGTAGTAAGAGTTGTTCACATATTCTGGACAGTAGACCTTTATCAGATACATGATTTGCAAATATTTTCTCCCATTTTGTGGGTTGTCTTTTTGTACTTTTGATTATGTCCCTTGAGGCAAAAATTTTCCAATTTTGATGAAGTCCAATTTATCTATTTTTCTTTCATTGCTTGTGTTTTTGGTTTCATAGCCAAGAAACAATGGCCCAATCCAAGGTCATGAAGATTTACTCCTATGAGTTCTTCTAAGAGGTTTAGGGTTTTAGCTCTTATATTTAGGTCTATTTTGAGGTAATTTACTTGTTATTTTCATAACATTTTGAGTCAATTTCCTTGTTATTTATTTCTAATTTCATTCTATTTTGACCTAGAATATACTTTATATGATTTAAATCTTTTAAAATTTACTGTGATTTGTTTTGTGGCCTAACATGGTTTAGCCTTGAGAATGATCCATGTGCACTTCAGAAGAATAGTGTTGAATAAAGTGCTCTACAGATGTCTATTATGTCTAGTTGGTGTATGATGCTCTTCAAGTCTTCTATTTTCTTCTTGATCTTCTGTCTAGTTATTCTATCCATTTTGAAAATGAAATATTGAAGTCTCAACTATTATTGTTGATTTGTCTATTTCTCCATTTAATTCTGTTAGTTTCTGTTTCGTGTACTGTGGATTCTCTTATTAGATGCACATATGCTTATTTTTTATTTTGTCACCAAGGCTGGAGTGCAGTGGCGTGATCATAGCTCACTGCAACCTCGACCTCCTGGGCTCAAGGGATCTTCCCACCTTAGCCTCCTGAGTAGCTAGAACTACCAGCACACGCCACTACACCCGACTAATTTTAAAACTTTTTGTAGAGACAGGGTCTTGTTTTGTTGCTGAGGCTGGTCTCGAACACCTAGGCTCAAGTGACCCTCCCATTTTGGCCTCCCAAAGTGTTGGGATTACAAGGGTGAGCCACTGCACTTGGCCCACATATGTTTATAATTGCTATATGTTATTGATGCATTGTTCCTTTTATGACTATAAAATGTCCTCTCTAGTAACAATTTTTGTCTTACTGGCTGTTTTGTCTGATATTTCTATAGCTACTCCAGTTCTCTTTTGATGACTATTTGCATGGAATATCTTTTTCCATCTTTTCACTTTCATCCTATTTGTGTCTTTGGACGTAAATTGAGTCTCTTGCAGATATTATATAGTTGGAGTCTGTTTTTTAATCTATGCCACTAACTCTGCCTTTTAACTGAAGAGTTTAATCCATTTACATTTTAAAAAACTGGTAAGTAAGGCCTTGCTTCTGCCATTTTGTTGTTTATTTCCTTTATATCATATCTGTGTCTTCTCTTATGTTTAATTGATTTTTCTAGTGTATTATTTTGATTCTCATTTCCTTTTATGAATGTATATTTTTAGTTATTTTGTTAATGTTACCTTGGGGGTTATAATTAACATCCTAAATTTATAATAATTTAGTTTGAATTAATACCAATTTAGCTTAAATAATGTACAAACACTGTGTTCCTATGTAGCTCCACCTTCTCCCTTTATGTTGTTATTGTCATACATTATATCTTTATACATTGTGTGTTCATTCAGATACATTTATAATTATTGTTTTATGCATTTGCCTTTTAAATCATGTAGAAAAAAAGTGAGTGACAGGCCGGGTGCGGTGGCTCACGCCTGTAATCCCAGCACTTTGGGAAGCCGAGGTGGGTGGATCACCTGAGGTCAGGAGTTCGAGACCAGCCTGGGCAACATGGTAAAACTCTGTCTCTACTAAAAAAGACAAAAATTAGCCAGATGTGGTGGCATGCACCTGTAGTCCCAGCTACTCAGGAGGCTGAGGCAGGAGAATCACTTGAACCCAGGAGGTGGAGGTTGCAGTGAGCTGAGATCATGCCACTACACTCAGCCTGAGCAACAGAGCAAGACTCCGTCTCAAATACAACAACAACAACAACAACAAATGAGTGACAAACAAAAAATACAATAATACTAGCTTTTATGTTTACCTATGTAGTTTCCTTACTGATGTTTTTATTTTTTATTTTTTTGTATAGCTAGAGTTACTTGTGTTCTTTCATTTCTTCCTGAATAATTTCCCTTAGCATTTCTCATAGGGCAGGTCTACTAGAAGCAAACTTCCTCAACTTTTGTTTGTATGAGAATGTCTTGATTTCTTTCAGTTTTTTGTTTTTATTTTATTTTATTTTTTGAGACGGAATCTCAGTCTGTCGCCCAGGCTGGAGTGCAGTGGCGAGATCTCGGCTCACAGCAGCCTCCGCCTCCCAGGTTCAAGCAATTCTCCTGCCTGAGCTGGGATTACAGGCGCCTACCACTATGCCAGCTAATTTTTGTATCTTTAGTATAGACAGGGTTTCACCATGTTGGCCAGGCTGGTCTCCAACTCCTGACCTCAGGTGATCCACCTGCCTCGGCCTCTCAAAGTGCTGGGATTACAGGTGTGAGCCATCGTGCCTGGCCTTATTTTTATTTTTTGAGACAGAGTCTTGGTCTGTTGTCCAGGCTGGAGTGCAGTGGCATGATCTCAGCTCACTGTAATCTCCACCTCCCAGGTTCAAGTGATTCTCCTGCTTCAGCCTCCCAAGTAGCTGGGATTACAGACATGTGCCATCACGCCCAGCTAATTTTTGTATTTTTAGTATAGACAAGGCTTCCTCATGTTGGCCAGGCTGGTCTTGAACTCCTGACCTCAGGTAATCCGCCTGCCTCAGCCTCCCAAAGTGCTGAGATTACAGTGGGATTACAGGTGTGAGCCACTGTGCCTGGCCTTCTTTCAGTTTTGGTGGAGAATTTTATTGAATACAGGATTCTTGATTAACAATTGTTTTTCTTTCAGGGTTACTATACATCATCCCTCATTCTGATAAATCAGGGAATAATCTTATTAAGGATCACTTATATGTAGTGAGCTGCTTCCCTCTTGCTGCACTCAATATTTTCTATGTTTCTTTGTCAACAATTTGGTTATAATCTGTTTGAGTGTGGATCTCTTTAGGTTTATTTTATGTGGAGTTTGTCGAGCTTCTTAGATGTGCATTCATGTCTTTATCACTTTTGAGGAGTTTTCAACCATTATTTCTTCAAGTATTTTTTTCTTTATAGCCCAGACCTTATAAGACAATATTTCTTCAAATATTCTTTCTGCTCCTTTCTTTCTCTCTTCTCTTTCTGGGACTCCCATTCTGTGTATGTTGGTATGCTTGAGGGTATCCCACAGGTCTCCTAGGCTCTGTTCAGTTTTCTTCACTCTTTTCTTTTTCTGCTCCTTAGACTGAATAATCTCAGTTGATCTATCTTCAAATTTGGTGATTCTTTCTTCTGCCTGCTCAAATCTGCTACTGAACCCCTCTTAGTGAATTTTTGATATCAGTTATTTTCAACTCCAGGTTTTCTATTTGGTTCCCTTTTTTATCATTTCTATATTTTTATTGATGTCTTCTATTAGGTAAAACATTGTTCTCTTGATTTTCTTTAGTTCTTTGTCCTTCACTTTCTTTGTGTCTTTGAGCATATTTAAGACAGTTGATTGAAAGTCTCTGTTTAGTAAGTCAAATATCTGGGCTTCTTCAAAGACAGTTTCTTTTTAAAAAAATTTTTTTTAAAGAGATGAAGTCTTGCTCTGTCACCCGGGCTGGAGTGCAGTGGCTCAATCTCAGCTCACTGCGGCCTTGAACTCGTGGGCTCAAGGAAGCCTCCCACCTCAGCCTCCTGAGTAGGTGGGACTACAGATGCACGCCACCATGTTCGGCTACTTTTTCTATTTTTTGGTAGACATGGGGTCTCACTATGTTGCCCAGGCTGGTCTTGAACTCCTGGCCTCAAGCAATCCTCCTGCCTCAGCCTCCCAAGGTATTGAGATTATAGGTGTGAGCCACCACGTCTGGCCAGTTTCTGTTAATTTCTACTGTTAATAGGCTGTACTTTCTTATTTCTTTGTGTACCTTGTAATTTCTTGTTGTTGAAAACTGGACATTTTGCATATTATAATGTGGCAACTCTGGAAATCAGATTCTTCCTCCTCCCTAGGGTTTGTAGTTGCTGGCTTATTGTGGGTTATCGTTGTTTATTTGTTTAATGACTTTTCTGAACTATGTATTGTAGAGACTGTATTCTTTGGTGTGTGTGTGTGTGGCCACTGAAGTCTCTGTTTTGTTAGTTTATGGTCAGCTAGTGATTTGACAGAGTTTTCCTTAAATACCTGGAGCCACAAAAAAAAAGAGATCACCTTCCAGTCTTTGCACATTCATTCTTTATGGGGGCACTGCTTAACCCTTAGCAAGACTGTTTACAACTCTGCTCTAGCCTTTACTTCCTGCTTGCATCGAAAGGTTAGCCAGAAGCGAACGTTTGTGGTCTTCTCAGGTCCTTCCTGTGTCAAGCCCTGGGCATGTGTGTGGCCTTGGACATTTCCTAGTATATGCAGGAGCTTTTGAAAGCTGTTATTCCTCCGTGTATGTCCTTTTCTAGCCTCTTCTTTCCCAGGCTTCCATCTGTCTGCCGTTTGCCGCATCTGTTATTCTTCACCACAGGTTGCTGCAGCTAGTATATAAGCCTTTAAGTGCCATTGACAAATGTCACTTGGGAGATCACTTCAACCCTAAGAAGCTTCTGAGGCATGTGACACAAAGATAAACCCCTGAGTTGATCATTCAGGGAGCCACCAGACAATTCAAAACACACAACCACAATTTTTTTTTTGAGAACAAGGTCTAACCACACATTGCTTACTTGGGCATTGGCAAGCCACATCAGAAACATGAGCCACCACTTTCACAGATGCTGCTAAGCTGGTGAGTGGAGATGGTATGCAGATAAGTTAACATGCCTCAATGCTCTTACTGAAATGTCTTTATTTAGCATTTGCCTAGGTGTGTAAGTTCTTTATTAGATTCTAGAATTTGGTAAAAATTGATTGGACAGTTTTTGTCAATTTGATCATCGTTTTTGTGGAATGATGGAGTTTTGGAATTTCCTGCTCTGCCATTTCAATCATATCATCCCACCATTAGCTTTTTTTTTTTTTTTAAATGGAGTCTTGCTCTGTCGCCCAGGCTGGAGTGCAGTGGCACATTCTCGGCTCACTGCAACCTCCGCCTCCCCGATTCAAGAGATTCTCCTGCCTCAGCCTCCCGAGTAGCTGGGATTGCAGGTGCCCGCCATCACACCCAGCTAATTTTTTGTATTTTTAGTAGAGATGTAGTTTCACCATGTTGCCCAGGCTGGTTTCAAACTCCTCACCTCAAGTGATCCACCCGCCTTGGCCTCCCAAAGTCCTAGGATTACAGATGTGAGCCACCGCGCCTAGCCACCATTAGCTTTTATACATAAAACTAGCGTGGAGACTCTAGCTTGTTCTGTTCACTTTTATATTCTTGGCTTCTAACACGTAGTAGGTACTCATTAAATATCTGTTAGCTAATGAATGAGTGAAATGAAAAAATTATCATTGTCTTACACAATCCCTATAAAACATGACTATTCCCATTTTACAAAGGAAGATCCTGAGCCTCAAAAAGCTTTTGTGGCTTTCGCAGGTTACCCAGCTTCTACAGCAAGAGGCAGAGACAGATTCAAATCTATATCCATAGTGCCAAACCTTTGTTCTCTTCCTTATACGATGCTGTCTCCTTTAGGCATCAGAAAATAAGGAGATAACAACTCTGTTGTATTTAACTGCTTTCGAAGCATATTCCTATCCCCTAAGTTCATTTATTTATCATCGTAGTCCTACAGCACAGGCTGAGCATATAACATTTTATAGTCAAGAAAATAGGCAGAGAGGACAAACAACCCATGACTGGACTGGAGGCACTGGCAATAAATTCAAATACTCCAAATCCTACATCAGTGCTTTTTCTGTTATTTTATCTTGTCTCTTTATGAAAGTAAATACGGCTTCATCTTAAAGTGGTTCTTTCCAGGTGAAAAGTAAATTATTTTCCAATGCAGCATTGCATGCAAACCAGGACCTGGAGATTCACGCTTCACTCCTGTCTTTCTTTCACTTGGCCCCTTACACCAACCAATCATCCGTTTTTGATGATTCTATCCCTCCATTAGCTTTTAAATATATCCCTTTCTCTCCATTCTTTTTTTTTTTTTTTTTTTTTTGAGATGAGTCCTGCTCTGTCACCCAGGCTGGAGTGCAGTGGCACAATCTTAGCTCACTGCAACCTCCGCCTCCCAGGTTCAAGCGATTCTCCTGCCTTTTCTCTCCATTCTTATTGCTAGTGCCCTAGTTGGAATTCTCATTCTGAATCACATGGTATATTTACAATGGTCTCTTCACTTTGTTTTCCTGGCCCAGAAGCAACTCACCCCATGCCATACTCCCCACTGTTGTCAGGGTAATTTTTCCCCTGAAAGGCAAATATCTCCAAACATTCCTTTGGTTAAAATCTTTCAGCAAGTCCTCATTTTCTGCAGCATAAAATCAAGACCGTTAGGGTGGCCTGCAAGACCCTCGAGATCTGATCCCTACTGACCGCTCCAATTTCATGTCCCCACACCTACACTTCAGTACAGATTCACAGACACATCATCATTTCTTCACACACGCTATTCCTCCTTGGAACACTCTCTACTTCCCTTTCCCCAAAGGCTTATTTGCTTATTACAGCCCCACCTCCCTGGCCCTCCCACCTTCAGGTGGGTCTCCCTGCTACTCCTGAGTTAACTCTGTTAGAGTGGCTGGCACACTAGATTACAATCATCTGCTTACTCCTTTGCTTCCTAAATATGGTGTGAGTTTTCAGAGAGCAGAGGCTGGGTCTCTTATTCTGGTATTCTTAGCTAATGTAGAACTCAGTGAATGTATCCGAAATAAATGAAGACTTATCTTTCTGTTTTATTTACACCCAAGAACCATGTCGTGTAACTCATAGTAGAAACAGATCTAAATAAGGTATGAGGTAACAACTTCAGTGAAAGCATCAGGAAATTACATGCTGGGACTTCCCCAGCTTAGCATCCCCAAATCCCAATTTAAGAGCCATATGTGGGTTATTTTTGCTTCCACAGTAAACTGAAGAATGCATAAACCTTCTTCTACCAGAGAATAAAATTCTATCGATCTTTGTGTTTTCCTTTCCTATCAGGTTGCTAAGAAAGCTGAAAGAATTTAAGGCTTCAATGCACTGTGACCATATTAGTCCCAGAGTCCAGCATATTTGTTTCTTCCTGTTTATGTCTTTGCTTTTATATTTTTAGTTTAATAATCTTTTCGGGCTGGGCATGGTGGCTCACACCTGTAATCTCAGCACTTTGGGAGTCTGAGTTGGGAAGATTGCTTGAATCCAGGAGTTGGAGACCAGCCTGGGCAACAAAGCGAGACCCTGCCTTTCCAAAAAAAAAAAAAAAAAAAAAAAAAGCTGGGTGTGAAGGTGCATGCCTGTAGTCTCAGCTATTCTAGAGGCTGAGGTGGGAGGATCGCTTGAGCTATGGAGTTTGAGGCTGCAGTGAGCTATGATGGGATCACTGCACTCCAGCCTGGGGTTAAAAAAAATCTTTTTGTATATATGCCTTCTTGGAAAACAAAAGCAGCATAAATATATAAACAGACACTAAAAACATATTGCATGTTATTTCTTGTTAGCATAGAAGCACACCAATGGTTAGCATGACAATGTAGAAGAGTAGAGTTGGAGTCATTGAGAGGTTTGTCTACAACTACCTAAGCGACACACGCCTTTGTTATGTGGGGAGCTGAAAACCAGAAATCATTATCAGGGAGTGGAAAACATTTTTTGCTGGCACAGATAAATATTTTCAGGACCTCTAACTCTAATGGACTCCTTCCTATCACTACAGAGATTTTACAACAGTTAGCATGGAACAGAAAAGGTAAATATTTCCAATATTCAATGAAGTAGAGAATCAGAGCTTAGATGAATTTGACCATCTGGCAAAAGCCCCCATCTCTAAATGAAGAGATGGCACACGTCATCCTGAGTATAGGCCTTCATGATTTATTTTCCCTTTCCCTCCAATTTCATTAGTCACCAAGCCTGTTGGATTTCTCGCTGGAATCCTGCTCTTTTCCAGTCCTCCTCTTAGGCCCCGGCTCAGGCTTCCTTCCTCCCAAGTCTTTCTCTTCTAGATTTCCACTCTCAACGCAGTCTCCATATGGCTAGATTGCTCCTCTGCTTACAACCTGTCACAGGCTCCCCACAACACACACTTTAGGTCTGAACACACATGTAAGAGTCCTGTATCCTCTCCAGGGTCACCTCTTGGTGCAAACGCACATCTTCTTTGCTCTGGACATCCTGAATGACTTCTGTTCCTCATGTTGCTATATGAGTGCCAAAGTGCTTCTATTCTGGGTAGAATCACCCTCCCACCCCTTCATCATCTGGCTAATCCCTGCTTATCCTTCAAGACTCAGCTGAGACAGTTTCTCCTAATGACCTCAACACCTTCCTGTGTGCTCCAAAGCACTCTCTACTATCACTGCTCTCTGCGTCCCTCATTAGGCTGTGAGCTACTTAAGATCAGGGAGTATTTAGAACTGAGCTCCCAGAATATAACTCTGGCTGACCAGAAGAGGTCTCAGGAAATGCTTGTTGAATGAAAGTGGATACATTTAGCACGCTGCTGTGAGCATGCTTAGGAAATGCATCTGAAATGGGCCTCACACATCACAATTTCCAGGAAATGTGAGACGTGCATCTCCCTAATCCCCACCTATCATTTCCATCATCCTATTATTTCAAGTCTATCATTTCTATTATTTCTTCTAATCTTTCTAATTTTATCAGATCCTCTCCACTCCTCCTCCTGACCTTTCCCTGGTCTAATAATAATAAAAAAATCCTAAATCCATTTAGATTTGACTTAGATTTGTTTTCAAATTGAAAGCCCATTGTCCTAAATTACAATTTATTAAATGGACTCTTTCCTTCCTTATTCATTTTAGGTATATTCTATTTTAAGTATAATCCCTTATAAATAATACGATTTGTTTTGGAAACTTTCTCTTCTATTCCACTGGCCTATTATCACACTGGTTTAGTTACTATCATTTTATTATCTTACCCAGCTATTTGTGTTTAATATAATTTTTTCCTGTTAAAAACTATAGAGGAATATTTTAAATATACAAATAAGCAAAGGAAAAGCTAAAATTACTCATAGTCCCACAAAACAGAGATAACCATAATCATCATTTTTATGTAAATAGATGGCTTTCACAGCTGGCTTTCACTTAACCATTTTGCCAAATAAACCGATCTTTTCCAAGCTTCTGTAGAATGTACTGGCTGATGACTGTCGTATGCTGAATGCTCCTGGAGAGGGGCTTCCACTCAGAGGCCTGTGTTCTGTGTTCTCATTCTCAGCATCAGGAGGTTGTGCTAACAAGGGTCAGGTGTGTATATTTCAACATGTTATGCCAGGTGTAGTGGTTACACTACTGCCAGGATTATTTAAATATTACGTATATTGATAAAAACAATGAATATGAAAAGAGTAGTTTCTATAAAAATTAACCCTTTGAAAAGTTGAATACCTTGCAAAGGTTCAATAAAGGTAAGTGCTAAAACTACTACTCTCAAGTTATGTGTAGGTGAGAAATACAAACATTGCAAAGAAATTATAAAAACTATAAAAAACCTGGGAACCTATATTCAGTGGGCTTTGTAAGCATTTCTAAATTTTTTAATCCATTTTAATAAATCAATATTTCATATTATTGCACTTTCGGGAGGTTACATTATTGGTGTCTTTAATGTCAAAGACAGTAGACAACTTCAGAAGAGTCAGGAGTCAGAAAGAAGAATATACCTATGTCAACAATTGGCCAATAAACATTGACATGTTGTAGTTTAAAACAATTTTCTTTTTCTTTTTCTTTTTTTGAGATGGCGTCTTGCTCTGTCACCAGGCTGGAGTGCAGTGGCACAATCTCGGCTCACTGCAACCTCCACCTCGCTGGTTCAAGCGATTCTCCTGCCTCAGCCTCCCGAGTAGCTGGGACTACAGGCATGCGCCACCACACTCAGCTAATTTTTGTATTTTTAGTAGAGACGGGGTTTCACCATGTTGGCCAGGACGGTCTCGATCTTTTGATCTGGTGATCCACCTGCCTCAGCCTCCCAAAGTGCTGGGATTACAGGCATGAGCCACCGCGCCCAGCCTTCTTTTTCTTTTGAGACGGAGTTTCACTCTTGCTGCCCGGGCTGCAGTGCAATGGCACGATCTCGGCTCACCGCAACGTATGCCTCCCGGGTTCAAGCAATTCTCCTGCCTCAGCCTCCTGAGTAGCTGGGATTACAGGCAGGTGACACCGTGCCCGGATAATTCTGTATTTTTGGTAGAGACGGGGTTTCTCCATGTTGGTCAGGCTGGTCTCAAACACCTTACCTCAGGTGATCCACCCATGTCGGCCACCCAAAATGCTGGGATTACAGGCATGAGCCACTGCACCTGGCCAAAAATTTTCATTTTCAATGATTCTCCTCCTTAACCCAGTTTTTCAATTAACCAGTTAACTACCAGTGCCTACAGGACTGAGAGAGCACCTACTATATTTTAAGATGTCTAAGAAAATTTATTTCATATAAATGAGATCATGCATTGCTTGAGCCCCTGCTTTCTTCACTATTATAAACATTAATCCAATGTATTAAATATTATTTACATTATTGTGAATGCCTGCCCAGTCCTTCCTATTGAACTTTTATTTATGCTTTTTAAAATTTAACATTAAATATGTACCTTTCTTGATTTCCTCTTTGACAGGACTAACAGGAAGCTTGGAATTTAGTCATATGCCTAGCCTGGGATTCTTACATAGCTAATCTCCTTTTCTCAATTTTTTTTCAATTTGCTTATTACACAACTTGTGTGTGTGTGTGTTAAAATTGTTTTATTTTGTTGTAAGCTGTGAGAATCCTTTCTGGAAGATGGAGTGAGTTGACCAACCTTAAATACCTAATAGCCTGTCTCCCAATGTGAGGTTACAGGATGCAACCTGAGATTGACTGAAAGCCGCTTTGTTTTGCCTCGAAGGCAGTTCCTTACTGTTGCCTCTCTAGTCTGACAGTCCTGGCCAGGGAGCTTGTAAGTACCTAGAGTGCTTTAAGTTTTCTATTGAAATTGCTGATAAGCCCATGAAATGGTCTAATAGCTTAGCTTTACTTTTTCTGGAATCCTAAATTTAACCTAGGTGAATCTGCTAAAATTATTTTTCTTGGAATTGGGACAGTAAATGAGGCACATCAAATTAAAAGCATAAAGCATTTCTTATTTTCACTACTACTTGCCACAAGTGAAAAAACAATGTGTAGAGCAAGCTTGTCCAACCCACGGCCCGCGAGACGCATGCAGCCCAGGACAGCTTTGAATGCAGCCTGACACAAATTCGTAAACTTTTTAAAAAGATTTTTTGTGTGTGCGATTTTTTTTTCTTAGCTTATCAGCTATGGTTAGTGTTAGCGTATTTTATGTGCGGCCCAAGACAATTCTTCCTCTTCCAGTGTGGCCCAGGAAAGCCAAAAGATTGGACACCCCTGGTAGAGGCAGAAACTCACTGGGTTAGTTCCACAGCATCTGATCAAAGATATGAGGCCAAAGAGCCTCTCGAGGTACTGGCTTCTTTCTGAACCCTTCAACATGTGTAAGAGTTTTGAGCTGTACAGCTATTTAAAGCAGCTAAAATTTTAATCACTACTTACATATTAAGATAGGGTGTGTAAGTTTTGTGCCTCCTGAAAGAATCCTCTAGATTTTTATTTCCTTCAATTTGAGGTTAAATACAGAGTACGCTTTCCATAGTCAAACAGAAAGAAAAGACTTTCAGGTACCTTTCAGATGTGAGGCTTTTCACAGGCTCTTTAATCATTAGGTGGTCTATATAATAGAAATTACGTAAATCTGCATCAGAACCACTCAAAAAAAGAAAGAACAGTCCAGATCGGTTAATATTCTACAGAATCTCAAATTCCTCCAGTGTTTAAGACTCCTCACGATTATTCTGTAACAACTCTTTTTGGCAGGATGGTGTAAACAACCAGGACTATCATCAGCTCACATTTGCTAATAAAAGGCAGTTTACAGTGCAGCCTCTCAAGAAAAATCCAAAATAACAAAACAAATTAGGAGAGGTTTACGGTATTCCAAAAGGTCTTCCACTTAAGAAGAACATCCCTTCCTTCGTCCCTAACATTACCTAAAATTATTGGTTTTTAAAAAGCTTGATTTTTCTAAACTTTAAATGGGGCACAGCTACTGCCTAAATGATGGCACACCACACAGTTTCACAAACGCACTAAACTCATTACAGATCCAGGCTCCAATTCACGTGCAGGGCACTGAACCAGGCACAATGAATGTCTTCCATGATGGACACTGTCCAGCGGAGGCTTTTCTTTTCTTTTTTTCTTTTTTTTTTTTTTCTGAGACCGAGTCTCGCTATGACCCCCAGGCTGGAGTGCGGTGATGCGATCTTGGCTCACTGCAAGCTCCGCCTCCCGGGTTCAGGCCATTCTCCTGCCTCAGTCTCCCGAGTAGCTGGGACTACAGGCGCCCGCCACCACGCCCGGCTTATTTTTTTGTATTTTTTTTAGTAGAGACGGGGTTTCACCGTGTTAGCCAGGATGGTCTCGATCTCCTCATCTTGTGATCTGTCCGCCTCGGCCTCCCAAAGTGCTGGGATTACAGGCGTGAGCCACCACGCCCGGCCCAGTGGAGGCTTTTCTACTCTGCCTGATGATTGAGTTCAGTTGCAATCTTAGCATTCACGCGGCAACTCAGACTCCAGCTATGAAGCCTGGCCTGGCAGTGGATGAACTTTGTACTTCAGAAATTGGTTTAGGTACATTTATAGTTGCTATTCCGAAGCCCCCAGAACATGCTGCGAGAGACAGAAAGGAACAGCTGGGAAATTCTGGGGCACCCTTGCAGCATACTGACCTAATTTGAAACGAAGATGTTGCCCATGATTTTATCAGTCACCACCCTGGGCATGGGGAAGTGTTACAACACAGTAGACAATAACATTCTTTCCTATAAAATTTTATTTATTACATAAAAAATTCTATACATTTGTTAGACTAAAATACAGTTTTCATTATAATTCTGGCAACTGAGTCAGTACACAGAGAAAACTTAGCATTAGATCAGCACTTTTCTTTCTAGTTCGTATTTCTGCACAAGAAAAACATTTCAAAGCTCCGTTTCATATAGGCTGATTGTTCTCTGAAGCCAGATGGAATTCCATCCAATTCAGAGCTCTTGGAAGTTAATTTCCCAGCAAGATTTGATAACTCCAACTCCAGAAAGTTAATTGCTTAATATACATATTTTTAAAGTCCTCTGAGAGCATAATGCTCCATCTGCAAAGTCTGCACTGTGTCAATAATGACCGTCACAAATACTAGGGCTACAACTGTGTCTGTGGGGCATGTTCAAGCACCTACATGTTTGTTCCCCCACATGAATACAGTGTAGTGACACTGTAATAAGAAAAAAATCCAAAATAATGGTAAGGTAAATGATTCCAAACTATGAATTCATGGAAGGCTTAACTGTGATCCTCCAGTTTATAATGGACAAAGACAAGACAAGATACAAAAATTCATTTTGGCACTATGAAATAGGATGCAAATGGCAAAAAAAAAAAAAGACAAAAAGGCATCAGATTGAGAAATATGTGGCACCAAAACATACTTCTCATGCCACATTACACAGCTGCGAGAAATCAAGACACACCGATGTGTGTTTTCTGCTCATATCACCCCATATGCTGGGCTGGGCTTGACACTGGATGTGAAGACTCAGTGCCTGAGAGATCAATAGCAGGTCCCTACTGTATTGACTGATCTTTAAATTTGGCCGCCTTATTATTCTAGGAGCTCTATTCTAAACTCAAGGAGTTCAGAAAGGCTGTGCCAGCCAGTAAGTAAAGTTGGACCTTTGGTCTTCAGAAGATAGGGTTTTGTCTTTGGTTGTTTTTTGAAGCCCCTGTCATTTTGCTTGATGCCCTTCACACTTTTCTCCCTGCCTTTTTGTTAAAGTTTTTTTCTCCTGTAATAAAATCAGTTAATAACCACTGAACTAACTTCTTTAGATTAAAGCTCTATTAGAAGTGCATTCAGTGGTCCAGAATATTCTGAGAAAGTATAACAACTTCTTTCATTATGGAGCTCTCAGTATCTTTTTATAGGGAAGAAGTCAGAAAACTCCAACAACACAACACAATCTAGTAGCATTAAGGCAACACAGCAGAAGAAAAGTTAACTGTCCCCATGTGATCATCTCTGAAAATCAAAATAGGCAAAAACAATAGGGGCCAAAAACCAAGTTCTGAGCACAGACTACAGGAACCTAGAGGATGGGGGAAAATCTACTTAATAGTCCCTGTTTCAAATCACCAGCCCCCAAAGCTATCCTATTATTGTCACATTCCTGTGGGGTATCTAATACAATTTACAAAAAAAAAAAAAAAGTCACCACCGGATTATCAACATGGTAAATGAAGAAGGAGCTCACATTTTCTAGTGGCAACTAGAATGATCCATGGAACCCATTCTATCTGCCCAATTATTCCCAAGTCTTCTTTTCAATGTCTACTTTTTTTTTACTCATATGATTTAACACATGCTCCTGAAACGACAGTTCAAATTATAATCCTAGCTGACAGGATGGGTGGATCAGATTCATACACGAAGGTCAGAATATTCCCTTTAAGTCTTACACTTCTGTGACAAAAGGGCATATCACATTTAGATACTTAGACTGGACTTACGCCCTTTTCTATCCAACATGGGAATTTCCACCAGTGGTCTCTGCATTTACTACTGTGGAAGGTTCATTAAAACTCTTCTAGGCCGGGCGCGGTGGCTCATGCCTGTAATCCCAGCACTTTGGGAGGCTGAGGCGGGTGGATCACCTGAGGTCAGGAGTTCGAGATTGGCCTGGCCAACGTGGTGAAACCCCGTCTCTACTAAAAATACAAAAATTAGCTGGGTGTGGTGGCACATGCCTGTGGTCCCAGCTACTCAGGAGGCTGATGCAGGAGAATCACTTGAACCTGGGAGGTGGAGGTTGCAGTGAGCTAAGATTGAGCCACTGCACTCTAAGCTGGCGATAGAGCGAGACTCCGTCTCAAAAAAACACCAAAAACAAACAAAAAAAACCCCCAAACTTTTCTAGGAGTGTGGGGTGGGGTAGGGGGCTGACTTTTCTCCTTTCTTCACCAGCCAGTTATATTTCCACTTTCTTCAGCCTGAAAAAGTAGGAAATGGTTTGATGCCTGACTATAAGTCATGAGCCACTGGGATCAAATTTCACAAGAACTTCAAACCCCTTGATGAGTTTCTGCCTGCTTTTTCAAGGGCCCAGGGAGCCTTCCATGTAGATGCAGCACCCTTACCTAATAGTAAGGTGCAGATGTGAAGAAATCCACATGCTTCCCTAAAGAAGATAGAGTAGGTAAGGGACTGGGGGTGGAGTTCTATTGGCAGAGGAATCTGAAGCTGCTCTAGTGGGTGACTGGAAAACACTAAAACAGAACACACCTCCGTGATTTATGCAGGAAGAAAAAACATCTTTTGCATTTCTACCTTCAGCATCTGCTCCTCCAACTTTCTACCAAATTTATTTTTTGCCAACTATGGACTACCCTTGAGTTTGCTAATTTATCATCATCTTCAACTGTTGTTGGAACTGGACATGTTGACAAATATATTTTAAGACAGTAGTATACTGATAACACTAAGCCACATAATGTCATAATGTCATAGCTGAGCTACAATAAAAAGAATCAAGTGTTTTGGTAGATGGATTAATTACAAGGATTCCCTATTTATTTCTTCTTGGATATTTTTTTTTTTTTGGCTCACTGCAAATAATCTGGTACCTTGCCCCCAAATAACCGCCAGGACACACACACACACACACAAACACACACACACACACACACACATACACACCCTCATACCTCCAAGGAAAGAAAATCTTACTGTCATGAAGATTCAGTGTTGATCATCTTGTTATTCCTTCAGATTAGTGTGGTTTCTATTCCCTAACCTGCTACTAAATTACATAAAGTCTTTAAGTTATAAAAATGATTCCAGGTCAGAAGGTGGTAAGCATCATCTCAAAAGTATCTCTAGTGGAGGCCTAATCACTTCCTCATTTCAAAACACATTATCAGAACAACTTTAGAGCAGCCTTTTGACTTGGGTTCATTAGCCCCTGAGGGGGTACAGGGGTGGAAGCTGGCCGTCTGAGGGCCCTGAAATTCTATGAGCATTTTGAGTGTTCACAGACATGTGATGTGCATTTGAAGGAAAGATAGTCCATAGCTTTCTTAAGCTCAAAGAGACCCATTGTCTCTTCAAAATAACTTGTTTTTGAATATCAAATATTAAATTCAGGTCTTAGCAAATAAAAGTGAGAAATTTCTGAGACATTTGTAAATTACAATGTTTCCATGTTCAACTAGATCTTCACTAGACCATTAATAAAAGCTTTATTATTCTGAGCTCCGTGTCCTGGAGAAAATCATTTAAGTTGTAAAACTGAGCATCAAAACTGAAGAATAGCCTAATAGGTCTCGAACAATCTCACATGTTTTTCACAAATTTACTAACGAATTTCCTTAGAACACATTCTGTCCATATAATTTACAAAGTGGCAATTGTTCATGCAATATTGAAACTGAATCATCATTTGTCTTTACATGTACAAAATCAAGATGGGAAGAAAGGGCACTACAGTATTTCTATAGAAAAGAAAGGTTTTCCACAGAAATCAGTAAGTTTAAAAACTGCATTAAAGTTTTCTATAAGAAAGATATTTTCAAAGATTTAAATCTTGGATTAAAATTATCCTTTTAAAATTAAAACATGGAGTATAAGAATTTGGCTCAAATGTATGAAATCTGAATGGAAAAAGTGTGCTATTCTAAATTCATAACTGTACACGACGTGTAATTTTTGTTTTGTTTTTTAAGTTTGCTAGCTTTAGATTTTCTCTTGGCATATTCAAGGGTCTTGCTTTTTAAAAATTTGGACTATGTGCCACTAAGTTAACAAAGATGAGTTAATTCCAAGAAGCTACTGTGTATGAATAGTGCCTACTTTTCAAAAGGGCTAACATGCATTCTTAGCACACAAAGATACATGAATATGCATTTAAAGCAAAAGGCAGCCTACGCTGTGAATACAGAATACACAAATATCTGCGTTACGCTTTTACTTATGAACCCACATTTTTTCAATATACATTCACAGACCACTTCTTACCAGTTCTAGGCAAGCCATTATAGTGCACTCGTATGTGTCAGATGGAATGTATGAAAAGAATACAGAAATTAACTGTGGCAGGTGCACTGATAAGCCTCCAGACTCTGAGAGTTTTATTTGTTGTTGTTGTTTTTTTTTTAAAGTAGCAGTAGAAAAGCAGTAAAGAACTTACTTATTGAAAAGCGAAAGCTTAAAGACCTTTCTGGAGGAAACTTCTCAGAGGCCATGTTAAGGCTATTGGAAAGTCCAATTTAAATGACAAGGTTACTGACCAAAAATCAAATAAAATATTCAAGTCACCATTACTGGCAGTTCTGGTTTTGGAACTGATCCCAGAATTCTACCTTGCAGGCTAGGAGATCTCTTAAAATGGCTGTTAGTAGCTAGTAATAGTGCATGGTGGAAATAGTTGAAGCCTCAGGGGCAGTGATGTGGCCTCACACATATGTGGTGCCTGCAGTTCCTGTAGCTGTTTTGAAGAGGGAGGGAGAGGTATTAACTCTGCTCTAAAGCAGTTTGGGTCCAGAATAAAGGGGTCAGTGCCTCATACCCCCTACTAGGGTGAAATCCTAAAACTGCCCAGGGAAGGCAAGGAAGCCCTTGGCAGATACCAAGATCAGTGGTATTGGAAATAACTTACAATCAGCAGCCTAATGCCCTCACGGAAAAAAAAAAAAAAAAAAAAAAAAAAAGAGAGAGAGAGAGAGAGCATCTCTACAAAAGAAAAACATTTCTAGCATAACTTTAAAATAAACTCAGTAAGTGCCTCCTCCTTAACCATTATAGAAAAAGTTTGGGTACCAACATACAGTTAAGCTACTTAAGTTGTAGTGACTTAGGACTTAATTATCTTATAGGATAAAATAAAAACTTTAATCCTAAACATTAGCCATTGCATTAAATGCTTTAAAGGAACAACTGGCTTTGAGCTCTGCTCATCCATGCAAGGATTATACAATCTCAGTGCTCTAGCTAAATTGCTAATGTTTTATTACTAATGCACTGGTAAGCCTCTCATAGAAGATGGGTCTCTTGGATTTACACTGAAATATAACTTTTCTCTTCCATATTATGGAAGACCTTATTCTTCAGGCAGGAGCTTAGAAAGTCTAAATTATGCACCAGAGCCTTAATTATCTGATGGCAAAAACCACGATACTCTGGTCACTACTACAATTGACAATAGAGGACCCCAATTAAAACTCTAGAAATATGAGTCCTGAATACAGTTTTGAAGATTCACCACAGAAGAAGACAAAAACCACCACATAGAATCAATGATTTATGAAATTATTCGGGTATCCACATTTCACAGAGAAATTTCTGTTCTTCATCTATTCTTCTCACTTGGGCAGAAGATGGAAGCAGTGAGCGAATAGCAATAAGGCAGCCCATAGCTAGCTGAAGAATGACTTGAAATGAATGAAAAGAGGCAGCAGGAATATCCAAACATAACCTCAACACATTTAAATATTGCTTAAAATCCTCTGTGAGGCTTTATCAAATTAATCAAGGAATAAAGCTCATGAAAGAGTGATATTCCACATATTAAATATCTCTCTGTGTGTGCCTGTGTAATGCATATCTGCATATTTCTACACGGCACATGAATTTACTTAAGGAAAACAGCCTGGCAATTAATTTGCAACTCAAATGACATGGTTACACATAGATTATAATTTCTAAACACAATGTTAGTAAAACAAAATTTATTTGTAAAACAGGACCTGTTATATAAAATGGCACACAATCAAGTTATACAAAAATACAAAATTTCTTTCTGATTACAGTTCTAGTTGCAAATGATAATTAGAAAGCATTCCTGGTAGCTTCCAAATAGCTGAGATTGCGAGCATATGGAACAGGGAGCAGCAACAGTCCATGATGCAGGGATGTCCAAGTGAGTAGAACCTAATTTCCAAGTTCAGGACTTCCATCAGGTCACTTTGGAGGGACACCTCTTAAAATTGCTAGCTCCTGGAATGTCTTCTGTTTTGATACCCATCTTCTAGACTTTTGCCAATTCTAAATTTAGTTCCCAATGTTTGTGAAAGTCCAAAATCTGTGCGGCTATGAAACAGATGGTATTCTGAATTTTCTCACATGATTTGCTCTCTCATCTATTTGGACAATTGTTAGTTATATAATTATATTCATTTCAAATGAATAAAAGAGAACAGCGATACTGTTTGGTGATACTAGATATTAGATGTTAACTTCTGGAGAATTATTCTTTCAAAATAGCTACTCTCGCAATGTTGGTTTCCCAGATCTTGCTAAGACATGAGCTCTTAATTGTGTGTATGCATGTGTTTTTTAAAATCCAGACTCTTATTGCAAATATTCTGAAAAATCAGAAATATTACATGAACTTTTAAAAGAAACCAAGGCATTTAGCAAATTTTAGCCTAGCTAGAGTAAAGAACACCAATACTTAAAAAAAAATACAATTTACCTTTTGCAGCAATTTAAAGGTCCAACCCTTTGAAAGGAAGCACATTAGCAAACGGCTGCTTATTAAGCCCTAGTGACATTACTTGTATGCATTTCCATAATACCGATCTAATTCACTGTCTAGTTCTGGTAGGAGGCAATGCTTTCTTTCAAAAGATTCTCCTTCCATGGAATGATAAAATGCTGAGGCTTTTTTTTTTTTTTTTTTTTTGTACAGAGCCTGTATTTAGTGCAATAAGTTTAAAAAATTTGCTCTGAAATATTTACTTTACATTAACAAAAATAGCTTTTTTTAAAAAAATTGTAACAAAAAGGAGTTATCGCATAAACAGATCATGAATTATTCTTAGCAAATTACACTTTTTTTTCTTAAAGCATTCACCATTACAACAAGCAGAACAATGGAGTATTAGCCATTCATATCTGGTAAGCTTCAGGAATAAAAAAGCAAAAAACCCCAAACCCACCCCCAAACAAAAACAACAGTCACACTGGAGGATCAAAACATTAGCCAATTCTTCAGTTAAACATCGTAGAACTCTGGATACTCAATGAATTGCCAAGGAGAGGAGCACCTGCCAGTGTGTTTTCAGATTGTATAGCAAGCATTTGAATAAAATGGCCGTTTAACCCTAAGCCACTGACGTTACTCTGAAGCCGAAGCCCAAGCACCGGAATTTTCAATGCTTTATGTTCCATGTTTCTGTCCCTTCTTTATTCCTCCCAGCATTACTTAATCTGCAAATCAATACACAGAAACTTAAAGGCTAAACTCGCTGGGTGCCCCAGCTTCCTTTCAAATCAGGCACACAAATGTGTGGAGGATGCTACTAAAGTCAAAAAGGAAAGAAAGACAAAATATAAGGGAAAAGTTTGCATACGAAAGATTATCTACCCTTTTCTTTTTTTACCTACTTTCTTTTAAAGAAGCGTTAGGGTAAACTACAAATACCTGAGGAGTTGGTTACCTTTTAATGTTGGCTGACAAATGTATGAACTATTATGAAAATTCCCATATTGGGCCCAATTGTATGTTTCTAAAAGTAAAATGACATGGCTTCTTTGATTGGGGAAAACTGATTGGAGTAATTCCTTATTTATCTGAAAGCATATGCCTAGTCTTGACCCACTAGGACTTATGCATCAGTAAAATAAGATCTTGATTTTATACAGACATCAGGGAAATTACCCCTGAATAAACTTTAGACATAATTAGGTACAATAATTTTACCTATTTTTAAATAAAGTTAAAATCTCCTCTAAGTTATTAAAAATGTTAATCAGATATGAATTTTAACATTTCCATTAAGACAATTACAGTTGAAAACATTAAATGACGGAAGTTGCCTTGTAAAAGCCACCCGTATGAAAGGAGTACATGTTTGACAAAAATAAGCATAAAAAAGGTATTAAATCCCTGTTCCTTTTCTCTGATTTTGGCTGATTTATGTGTGTGTGTGTATATACATATACATATATACACACATACATATACATATATACACACACCCACACACACAAATACATAGTTATGTGTATATATTGTTTTGGAATGTCAATGGGTTTCCATAACCGTCGGCTAGGTTCAAGCAGAACTTGCTCCCGAAGCCTAGAAAACAAAGTCATACAGAGTATAATCTTAGACAATTACCATTAAAAGGAGATCATGAATGATGTTACAAATATACACATGGTCACAAACAGCAAGACAGCAAAATGGACTGAGAATCCTTCTCCCCTGAATTCCTGGAGCTGAAATTCTTATGAATGTTGAAAGTCACACTTTATCCAGGATCATCTCTGAGATACACAGAGCATACTTCTCTGGCCCATGTTCCTACAGTGTCTAGGATTTTTCCTCCCTTTTCTCTTTAAGTTCTTTCCTATATGATAGCAAGCAGACAGTCAGAAAATCTCTTTCCTAAACCTCTTCATCACTTTTGGTACATTTTTCCAAAATCACTTTCAGAGAATCATAAAAAAATTCATAAATCTTTAAAGTTTCCTTAACTAGCGAGCCTCTCTCAGGGAAAAGTTCAAGAACAAAACCGGAAGTTCTCATGTTTAGTTCAATGATCTGCTGTCAAAAGGAAAATATAAAACCTCATTTTACTGAACATTATTTTATAGGCTAAAAATGAAGCCTAAATTAAAATATCTCATTGAGGAGGGAGGAAGATAGTGAATTCAAACAGCAGCAATGTTTCTAGAGCTAATGCAAAATAGGCATGATGCTCTTTTATAGAACTTTCATCTACAGCAACAATATGTGAATTATATCAAGCAAATACAAATAAGCAATCCTAAATTCTATCAATCCCCAAACTTTCAGTAGAAATTTCTGAAATACTTTTTTAGAAACACATGCAAAGGAATGGTGTTAGTAGGGGCCAACTCTAATCATGCATACTATGGAAGAGAAATAAAGAAGGTACTAAGGTGCTGAAAAAATAAAACTACTCTGTGAGCAGCATTTCACACTTGTCTTCTGGGAACTTTTTAACCATTTAAAACATCATTCTTAGGGACCCAATGCTACAATGTCCAAAGCACCAGAACAATGCACATAGAAGATGTATTTTGGGATGCAGCAGAGGGTTTTTGCCATTAATCTGCAAGCAATGAACTGATGAACAGCATAAAATGAAAGCAAAAATTAAATAAAGATTTTAATGCATTGTTTGAAGTAAGGGACACTATTTCAAAACTGAAAATACTAATAGGAAACAACTCTTTCTAAAATATTTGGCATCTGGTAGAATGCCACATAACCTGGGCAATTCTCCCAGGATTATTACCTATAAATTAGGAGTTTAGGTAAGGAAAGTATACTTGCATTCTGATCTACTACAATTCATCTACCATTCATTAAAGAATACTATAGAAATCTGTGCCAACTCATGGCCACATTACCTAGTCTTCAACCTCGAAATATTTCTCCCTTTCTTTAAATGCTTATTACTGAATGATGTAATGAAAGCTTCAATCACTAGAAAGACAGAAAAGGGGGAAAAGCTTGGTTTATATTTTAAGATTTCATATGTCTTGTTAAGTTTTGGGCTTAGAATCGATTTGCTGAACAATTAGGACCTCCAAGCAGTAGAAGGAAGGAAGCCTTCCTCATTTCTCCATGTTGCCATAGGGTTGGCAGAATCTCCACTGCTGCCCTCCTCAGCTTTTGTGAAATAAGAGGGATACAGAAAGGTGTGGAGGGCAGGCATGGAACCTGATGGGAAGATTACTGGTGTGCCTCCATCTGCCCAAGCAATCATGTCTAGGTGATGCAAACTTAAAATTCAGAGCTATGTGGGTACTAGAGTGATCTGTGCTCTGGGATTCTAAACATTTAAATTTGATTTTATAATTATTCATGCTATTAAGTAAGAGTAACACCAAAATAGGCACTGGAAAGGGTTACAGAGGAAAGGTTTTATATCTAAATATTTTATTGAGGCTTTAACTTAGGTTGAATATGCGATTAGTTTGAATATACATATAGCCTCCCTGCCTCCCTCCAAAAATAAACCTATTTCCTTTACTCTTAATTAAATGAGCTTATTTTATATCATATATATATATATTTTTTTTTTTTTTTTTTTTTTTGAGATGGAGTCTCGCTCTGTCGCCCAGGCTGGAATGCAATGGCGCCATCTTGGCTCACTGCAACCTCTGCCTCCCAGGTTCAAGCAATTCTCCTGCTTCAGCCTCCCAAGTAACTCGGATTATAGGCACACGCCGCCATGCCCAGCTAATTTTTTTTTTTTTTTTTTTTTGGTATTTTAGTAGAGACAGGGTTTCACCGTTTTGCCCAGGCTGGTCTCAAACTGCTGAGCTCAGGCAATCCACCTGCCTCGGCCTCCCAAAGTGCTAGGATTACAGACATGAGCCACCATGCCTAGCCTACTTAAATGAACTTATTTTATAGCATATATTTTAAAGTTGAAAACCTACAAATCAGGGGTATCCAATCTTTTGGCTTCCCCAGGCCATCCTGGAAGAAGAATTGTCTTGGGCCACATATAAAATACATTAAGGATAGCTGATGGGCTTAAAAAAAAAAAGGCAAAAAATCTCATGTTTTAATAAAGTTTACGAATTTGTGTTGAAAGCCTTCCTAAGCCATATGCGGCCCACAGGCAGCAAGTTGGACAAACTTGCTATAAATCAAATCATTTACTAAAGTGTAAAGAAGACAGAAAGGAAAGTCCTTACCTCACACTTTTGAACATTATATGCAGTCAGGGGACACATTGTTTAAAATTATTTAAGGATGCAGACAATTATATAATATTTGAAAATAAACATGCTATTTAAAAAAATACGTGTTTAAATTAGGAAGTAATTAGACCAATATATGATAGAGGCATCTGTTTCTATGCTATAGTGACAATATCCATGTGAAAAGCAGCTCAAGGTTCTCTTACACTCATTAAGCTGCTTTTTTCAAATAAAAGTGGAGTAGAGAGATATATTTGTGTACATATACATATATAATATCAACTACCAGAAATAATTTATCCATCTCACAATTAAACTGGGAGAAGACTAGATTGTCTTACTGAGTGGGAATGTGGGTATTGATGAAAACAGCCTTGTTTGCTACTGAAAAATAGCTTAAGAAACAAAGAAAGTACAACCTAGGCAACAGAAGAAAAAGTCAGCCAAGGGAAAAGGACAGCAATGTAAGCAGAACCATACTTTTAAAAGGGGGAGTATGAATTTTAGCAAGTTGAAAGGAATTGCTATGATCACCTTCCAAAATGATAAAAATCAAACCGTCAGTTCAAGTGTACACCAAAATGTTCAGTCTGATGAAAGCCAAACACTGACAGTTAAAAAGGAAACAAGAGCAACAGCAGTTTTACCTTAGGGAAAAAACCATCATCCCCTACCCGCCCCTGCCGAGCACTGACGAGGATGCTGTTCCTTTCAGCTTACTTTTATAGAAGGTGGTCTCAGTTGTGACAAGAATTCTGCCATCCAAGTGATGGGTAAGCACACAAACAGAAAGAGCAGCATGTCCTGCGTGATACAGATAACAAAAGCTTCTCCTGAAGAAGTGCAGTCAGTGAAGACAGAGAGAGAGAGGAAGTGAAAGTGAAATTCTTGGAGGGCGGCCACCTCCTCATCTCCACCTACCATCGGCTTTAGCTCTCTGGAATCAGCGACGCCTCCCTTACCAGCTTCTTTCATTGCTTTCCTACTGTTTTCCACAAACTCCTGCAAAATATGGACCATATTGAATAAATTCTTGGGTCCTTTCAGATTTGTTAGTAGATGAATTCTAAAGAACATCTACATTTTTGACTCAATCTTGGTAAATGGATGGCTTAAAAACATAGCAATAAATAATGTTTAGTATCACACATGAGAGTTGCTAAATTTGTAGAAATGGACTCTGCAATTCGCTGATTAAAAAAATCTTCTTTCCATCCATTCATTGTGACAATCTTACTAAGGCTCCAAGAGATAATGTTAGTTCTACCTGGAAGAGAAAATACCTAACATTTTTAAGAGGCTATTTTCTCATACTCAGAATATCATTTTATTTGTTGTTGTTGTTTTTTTCTATATCAAGGTTAAATGAAACAACAAGAACACGTTACTCCATAAGCCTCCACTTTTAAATAACCATAGAAGGTAAAAGAACACATTGATACTGCTAAGCACATAATGCTTTTTTTCTTAACCAAACCATAAACAAACTACTCTTTTTAAAAAAAGTGTCAATCTGACCATGACATTACTTCATGAAGCAGGAAGACAGGGTGTATCAACCAGAACCTATGGTTAGTAGTAGTCGAAATGGGAATGTGCCCAAAGGGAACATTTCTATTCTGTCAACGTTTACGGGGAACTTCTTCATTAAATATCCTCACCATTCCTACAGAGAAAACTGAAGGGTGGAAAACAGTTATTTTTTACTCTGCTTTTGATCAGTGACTTAAAAAACAGTAACACTCTTCTAAATGCTTTAGTCACAAAAGAGATACAATAATCATGATCAAATTCCATTAAGAAAATAACCAGTTAGAATTAGTTTAGACATTAAGAAAATGTCCAGAATTTAGCTGATGTTGCCAGAAAAAGAGAAAATCAGTGCCAAATAGGTCAGCTAAATCATTTGGAATTCTTGCTATTGAAAAGAAAAAAAAAATCTAGGCTGGGCATGGAGGCTCACACCTGTAATCCCAGCATTTTGGAAGGCCGAGGCAGGCAGATCACCTGAGGACAGGAGTTCAAGACCGGCCTGGCCAACATGGTAAAACCCCATCTCTACTAAAAATACAAAAATTAGCCAGGAGTGGTGGCACATGCATGTAATCCCAGCTATTTGGGAGGCTGAGGGAGAACTGCTTGAACCTGGGAGGTAGAGGTTGCAGAGCCAAGACCATGCCACTGCACTGCAGTCTGGGTGACAAAGCAAGACTCCGTCTCAAAAAGAAAAAAAAAAAAATCTAGCTTATTTATTAATACACTTATTTTAGATTTAACTGGATAAAATATGCTCCTGGAAAATGACTTGTTATTTCAATGTATAATGCTTAGTATTCAATATTACCCATTTTGAGATAGAAATATTTCACAGCTTAATAGCAAACTACTATTATTTAGAAAGCATCTTTACTTTGGTAACATTTAACACTGATTATAACAGTACTTAAACCATTTAATAAGGTTTTCAAAATTTTAAAGAAATTTAATTGAGGTTCTAATATGAAAAATCTGCATATATCTGTGTAAAGGTTCAGATCTTGACTAATAAATAACTATACACTCTACCAGTCATGGGTCTGTTATCGGTATTCATCACAAAATGCTTTCAATTTGGCCTACCATATTTAAGATAATGAGTTTTAACCAGGGTTGACAGCAGTAATGTTTGGGGCAGTGGTGGATAGAGAAAGACAGGTAGGCACTAGGACCTGGGAAACAGGATATTTTGTCTTTGAGCCCCATTTCAGGAAAAGGCTAGAAGCTAGTTTAAAAAGTCAATTCAAATCTATCTAACTACAGAGAGAGGGGCAGCAAGAATAGGGTGAACTTAGGACTATTAACCAGTACTGCTCTAGCTAGGTGGATCTGAAATGATCTTGTCCATGCCAAGAAGCCGTCCTCCCTGACTTACCCTAGATTAACCTCATTTATGAGTCAGTGCTATGGGGTTAATTCTAAATTACTCAGTTGCATATAGTGTGAATTAAATATAGAGAATGTTTTACAAAATATTTTTATTGGTATTTTTATCCCTAAAATAGGAAACGGCATTTGAAGTACTTACCATCAGCACTTTATCCATATAGAATTCTCTGCCAGGGCTCCCATCATTGTATTTTGTATCAATGGCAAAACACAAGAATAATACATCCACTACCATTTCATAAATAGACAGGAAGCAATGAGCGACTAGGAAAGCAAAGAGGCAGACGATGATCAGAGGCAGCACCCATACTGTGTAGTCCTGCTGGTAGTTGAGCAGCATAATCCCAGCTAAACCTGTGCTGCAGACTATCAGCACCTGAAGCAGAGAGAACAAAGATCATATTTAATATCCTACTGAAGAAAGCCACTCTTTTTTCACCATTTGCAGACTTAAAATTCTACTATTTATAAATGATGGTTGCATGAGGCCATTCCATCTCAAATGAGGAAATATAATCCACATATTCTCATATACACCCAGAGTTATACATGCTTATCATATAATATAAATTTTAAAATCATACTTTAAATGATTCTGGTTTAAACATAATTAAGTTTTCCAAATGCTATGCTGCACCCTAAAACTTAATCTATTTAGAATCTGTGGCAATTTTTAAGATAAATGTATGCATATTTTAGAAAAAATTTACAAACTCTTAGCACTCAGAAAAAAAGTGATATTTCAGTGTAATGGTATGTATTTTTTCTAAGCATTTTCACATATATGAAATAGTATTATATAAACAAATCACTATAAGCTTTTCATTAATATACATAGAAGTATCATTATAAATGCTTCATATTTACTCAGCTACATAATTTCATTTTATGAGTGATTTAAAATACATGTAACCATTCTCTTACTGTTAGAGATTTATATTGTTTTCAGATATAAATAATGCTGCAACAAACATGTATAGTCTTAGAACTTTTTCTGTGTTTCGTATTTTATTTCACATAGAATATGTGGTAAATATAATTTGCCATGAAGTGTATATTTGGACTCTCTGTGAAGAAAGAGGTTGCCAAAAACATCCATGCTAAAAGAATAAAAGAAATAGCCAATTTAGTTATTGTCAAGAACCACCCACTCTGATGCTTATTTCACATGCAGCATTTTAAATTTTTTGTGGTTTTTAAAATACATTTTATTCCAGCTTTTCAATAACCCTATGAATGGTTTATGGCAAATATTATCATCCCATTTTATAGCCTTGGAAACACACTTACAGATGCCACCCGACCTGAGTAGAAAAAAAAGAGTAGATCCAAGGTCAAGGTCATAAAAGTAGGAAAAAAGAACAGATCCTACTCAAATAATGGTCTTATGATGTCAACTCCAGTGCTCTTTTCAGATAAAAACTCAGAAATATTTGGATATTGATCCACAGCAGTAATGGATTCTACTGAATTCTAGACACACTCTTTCCCAGCTCTTTATTTTGTCTTGTATAAGGCTTTAAGTAAAGGGAAAAAAGAGACCCCTAGAATCATGGCAGCCTCTTCTTGTCTAGCATTAAGAATAATAGGCAGACCATGAATTCTTCTTTGGCATTTTCTCCAATATTTATCAACATCAAGGCATTTCTCATTCACCATTATCTTAACTCGGAGTTAAAATGCATTAGATGATACATTGGTTAAGCTATAAATTGATCCCTCTCTCAGATGCTTCTAGGGAGCAAATCTGGGTCTGCCCAAGCTTTGGAAGACTCCCCACCATTTTTGTAGCAACACACTTATGAATCTTCTCTTATAGTGACTTATTTTCTGGGGTTATTTCCATAGATGGTTAATTACTTCCATTTTTTTTCTTTCTCATTTTCTGGGGTTATTTCCATAGATGGTTAATTACTTCTATTTTCTTTTCTTTTTCTTCTTTTTTTTTTTCGAGACAGAGTCTTGCTCTGTTGCCCAGGCTGGAGTGCAGTGGCATGATCTTGGCTCACTGCAACCTCCACCTCCTGGGTTCAAGCAATTCTTCGCCTCAGCCTCCCAAGTAGCTGGGACTACAGGTGCTCGTCACCACACCTGGCTAATTTTTTTTTTTTTGTATTTTTTAGTAGAGACAGGGTTTCACCATGTTGGCCAGGCTGGTCTCGATCTCCTGACCTCAGGTGATCCGCCCGCCAGGGCCTCCCAAAGTGCTGGGATTACAGGTGTGAGCCACCGCGCCTGGTCATTACTTCAATTTTCTTCCACTCTCCTGGTTTCAATTTTAGAGTGAGTTATTTCCTATACTCTCCAAATCTTGCACATTCACCCTCTTGGAGGGCTGAGGTTCTTCATGCTCTCACCATGCCATTAAAAGTTAAACCCCTTTGAAATGGTAAAGTTAGTTATAGAAAAAAGGTATGGCTCAAACAAACTAGACGCTGAGACAAAAAGCTGGTGAGATGGAAGTTTAGATATTCTCATGCAGGAGGTAACTTCAACAATTAGTGATGTTTAGCCAAAAAAATGTAGTAGTTATTCCCAAATATAATGAAAGAGTGTTATGCACTTATTCAAACAGATACATTAATGGTTCTCAAACTGTAGAAAGGCTAAGAATGCAGATTCCTGGGCCCTAATCCCAGAGTCTGGTTGGTTGGATCCATGATAAAGCCCAGTAGTTTGCATTTAAAAAGTATCCCAGGTGCTGATAAAGACTATGTCTCAAGAAGTACTGGTCTATATCAGTGATCTCCATGGTGGATGGAGATCCACATGGATGGAGATACCCACGTCCTAGGGAGTATTTAACAGGATCACCTGGGACTTCTATTATATTTCTCATACATTTAAAATGTCTTCTTTCGTATGCTTTATAAGACATATATTAGTAACAGCTATATATATATAAATATTTACATTTATTTGATAAATATTTGATAAATAAATGTAAATATATTGAACAACTGTGATCAAACTTTTTTCTTAATAGGGCGCATGACTTTAGAAGTTAAGAGATCCCTAGCTGGGCATGGCAGCTCACACCTACAGTCCCAGCTACTCAGGAGGCTGAGGCAGGAGGACTGCTTGAGCCCAGGACTTCAAGACCAGCCTGGGCACAAAACCAGATTCCATCTCAAAAAAAAGAAAAAAAAATAGACGTTCCTGTTCTAGAGGATAAATTATTGGAATGCAGTAGAAGAGATTCATGCTTTAGGTAGGATGTGGGAAGCAGGAAGGAAAGGAAACTAGTTTTGGAGTCAGAAAGATGTAGATTTGAATTACGGAATTAGTACTTAGTTTTGTAACTCTAAGCAAGTTCATTTAACCATTCTGAGCCTGTTTTTCCATCTTTAAAAGAGACATAACAATACATACATCCCACGATTGTTAAAATAAGCATTCTAAAAGTATTTAATGCAATGCCTGGCAATGTTTCTCCCTCTCTCCCTTCCTTTCTTTTCTTGCCATCATAAGTGCAACATTTATGATGCTCTTTCTCTAGAGAACCTACATTTTGAAAGATATTATTTACAAATAAAATAGCATTTATAAGTAATAATTCATATTCTCAATTTTTATTAACCCAAGTCAAATAAATTGTCAACTAGAAGATATAATTAGTGTGAGAAAAGATATTACCAAATGGAAGTAAAGTAATTTCACACAGAAGCAAAGGAATTTGAGATTGAGGGGTTTTGGGATAGCTTTATTAGGACAAATATCAATACTTAAAAATATTTAAACTGGATTATAAACCTCTATTCTTACCTTTAGGACCCTATTGGCCAGTGACCATATGTTACAAGTCACTAAACTAGAAGAGCTAAGGTCCCTTACAAATCTAATTCACATTCCATAAAAACTATTAGAGTACCATAGAAATGGAACCCATAATGATGTCTTTTTTTTATTTTTAAATTCACAGTTTTAAAATTGAATTTAAAATTTAGAGGTAATTGTGAATTCACATGCAGTTGTAAGAAATAGTAGAACGGTTCCACGTACCCTTTACCCAACTTCCTTCAATGATAACATCTTGTAAAACTATAGCATACTGATATCACAACCATGATATTGACATTGATACTGTGAAGATGCAGAATATATCCATCATCACTGGAACCCTTCACTTTGTTATTTTACAGCTATTTCCCCTCCTCCTCAACCCGATCTCTAACCACAAATCCATTCTCCATTTCCATACTCTTGTCATTTTACTTTTTTTCTTTTTGAGAGTCTTGCTCTGTCACCCAGACTGGAATGCAGCGGTGTGATCACGGCTCACTGAAGCCTCTGCCTCTGGGCTGAAGCGATTCTCCCACCTCAGCCTCCCGAGTAGCTGGGAATACAGACGCACCCCACCATGCCAGGAAAATTTTTGTATTTTTTTGCAGAGATGGGGTTTCGCCATGTTGTTCAAGCTGGTCTTGGACTCCTGGGCTCAAGCGATCCACCCTCCTTGGCCTCCCAAAGTGTTGGGATTACAGGCGTGAGCCACAGAGCCCAGCCCTGTTGTCATTTCTATTATATAAATGGAATTAATCTTCTGGGATTAGATTTTTTCGCTCAGCATAATTCCCTCAAGATTCATTCAAGTTGATATGTATATGAACAATTCATTTCTGGCATCATGTTTTATAATGTTTATTATGATCTATTAGTTGAACTACCTGATTAGAAACAAATTCTGCATGCTAGCAGCCATTGAATTGTAATGAAAAACTCTTTTCAAAAGATTTACTGTATTCTATGACCAGAACTATATTTTTAGGAAAGAAAAACTAAAGAACATTTATATTAAAATGTTAGAAACCCAGAAGATTTCTCTTCCTCTTATTTTTCTCTTTTCTGAATTTCTCAATTAAAAAAATGTATTTATCTTTTATGGTTTTTAAAGTCATTTGAAATATTATAAATATTACATTATTAAAAATATATCTTTCTGGAAAGCAATCTGGCAATGCACATCAAGAACCCTAATTAATTCTAATTCTAGGATTCTGGTCTCAGGAAATAAAGATTGATGTGGGCAAGATTTACACACAAATACAAGCTTTAGGTTAGTAAAAAATTGAGCACAGCTCAACTGTAAAAAACAGAAAACCTGAGGATTGATTAAATAAATGACACAACAGTTGTATAACCATAGTTAGAAAAGTGTTAAGAAAACAAGAAATGCTCATAATGTAACACCAAGTGAAAAGAGGTATACAAAACTGCCTTCTCTACTAGGTTTCTTTTGTTTTTGTTTTTGAGACAGAGTCCCGCTTTGTCGTCCGGGCTGCAGTGCAGTGGCGCTATCTCAGCTCACTGCAACCTCCACCTCCCAGATTCAACCAATTCTCATGCCTCAGCTTCCAAGTAGCTGGGATTACAGGCATGTACCACTATATGCCTGGCTAATTTTTGTATTTTCAGTGGAGACGGGGTTTCCCCATGTTGGCCAGGCTGGTCTCGAACTCCTGACCTCAAGTGATCCACCCACCTTAGCCTCCCAAAGTGTTGGGATTATGGGCGTGAGCCACCGTGCCCGGCCCTCTACTAGATTTTAAATTCTATGTATTGATCAGTATATAACCAGGACCTGTAACAGTCCTTACCACATTACTAGTAGACACTCTATAAAGACATGAATAAAAAGATATAATAAAAAGTTTTAACAGGTCACTAGGCTGCTAAAAAAAGCCAATTTTAGAACATTGTGTTTTATCATCTTTATATTCTTCTCTTTTTTTTTTTTAAGACAGAGTCTTGCTCTGTCGCCTAGGCTGGAGTGCGGTGGTGCAATCTCGGCTCAGTGCAACCTCTGCCTCCTGGGTTCAAGCGATTCTCCGCCTCAGCCTCCCAAGTAGCTGGGACTACAGCCACTCGCCACCACGCCCGGCTAATTTTTTTTTTTTTGTATTTTTTAGTAGAGATGAGGTTTCACCACATTGTTGGCCAGGCTGGTCTTGAACTACTGACCTCAGGTGATCTGCCCGCCTTGGCCTCCCAAAGTGCTGGGATTATAGGCATGAGCCACCGCGCCCAACTCATCTTTTTATTTTTCATTAAAAAAATAATGCATACTCAATATAGAGAACATCATCTTACTACAATAAAGTGGGGTAGGGGTTTGGAATTATCTATATTTTCAATATCCAAAAGCAATCATTGTTAACATCTTGAGATATTCATTTCCATTCTTTTTCTTATAAACATTTTTAAACACTACTAAAGCCCAGTAGTTTTACTCAGCTTTTTCATTTATTACATTATATGCATTTCTTCATATTGTAAACTCTTAATAAAAAACATGGCTTAGTAGGTGAATAACAGTCTATTGACTATTATTCCCAACCATTTCTCTATTGTTAGGCATCAGATTGTTTACAATTGGTCACTATATAAATAATGCTGTATTTGTTGCAGTTACTATTACCAGGAGTGGCTTATCATTGACTCAGAATTACTGAGTCAAAAGGCTTTTAAAAAAATTTTTAAAAAGGCCCAAGGACAAATTTAATGTCAGCTGAGGCAATTATAGCACACAGTGATTAATAACTTAGAAGTCAGACAGACCTGAGTTTGAACGGCCACATTCTAGTTCTCTAAATTTGGCCAATTTAATTTTTCTCTAAACTTTAGAGTAGAGAAAACCAAAGATAATACTAGTAGCTCACCTTACAGGGGAGGACCAAATGTAACACTTAACAAAAGCCCTTCACTCATTGCCTGGTACCCAAAGTATCTTAATCAGAGTTTACTAAAATCATCGTCATCAAATATTGCCACTTTTAGTATCTCCCTTATTCCTCTAAATGGCTTCTTATTTCCCTTTGTAAAAAACGCCGTGGGCAGTGGCTCATGCCTGTAATCCCAGCACTTTGGGAGGCCGAGGTGGGCAGATCACCTGAGGTCGGGAGTTTGAGACCAGCCTGACCAACATGGAGAAACCCTGTCTCTACTAAAAATACAAAAATTAGATGGGCATGGTGGTGCATGCCTGTAGTCCCAGCTACTTGGGAGGCTAAGGCAGGAGAATCGCTTAAACCCAGGACGCGGAGGTTGCAGTGAGCCGAAATTGTGCCATTGCACTCCAGCCTGGGCAATAAGAGTGAAACTCCATCTGGAAAAAAAAAAAAAAGCAGTGTGTGTAGTGTGTGTGTGTAGTGTGTGTGTGTGTGTGTGTGTGTGTGTGTGTGTGTATACATATATATACTTTTATTCTAAGTTGCTTCATATCTTTCTTAGCTGTAGGGATAAATTATAAATACGTAAACAAAAACAAAAATAAAGATGGTGAATTCTGAATCAGCTGTAGAGACCCGACCCACTTCATCACACACAATGCTATATATACTTCTCCATGCCAAACATATTTTCTTTACAAAAACACTTAAAAAATACAGTTGGCTAGAGCAACCTAAGGGTTCAATAGTAAGAGAATGTTTACAAATAGTATTTGGTGGATATTTACCATGGTAATAATGAATAATTGTGAAGATTATCAAAACAAGATGGAAAATGTATATGATGTAATGTAAAGAGAAATGGGCGGGACAAACAGGTACGTATGCTATGATTGTTATACTATAGAAATACAAGCCGATAAAAAAAAATGGGAAGAATTATATAGAAATAAGTTATTTAGTTATAGTGGTGGTAGTATAAGCCTTTCTCTTTCCTCAATTTAAAAAATTTTCTGAGCATTTTATGGTTTAATACTCAGATACAATGAAATCTAATTATGTTATTGAATATTTTGCAGTATTTTAATAGTATAGAATAAAATGCCTCTTGTTCGACACTTCTAAGGAAAGTATAAGTCTCGTTCTCTAACAGCTCTATTTTGAAGGGGCTTATATATAATACTGTAATAATAATGATGACAACTAACATTCACTGAGAACTTAAAATGTGTCAAGCACTCTCCTAGATACCCTACATGTATTAACAATGCATTAATCTCATGACCCTAGGAGTTTGGCACTATTATATTCCAATTTTACAGATGAGCAAACTGAGGCACAGAGTGATTCCCTTATCTAACCTGCCCAGGTCACACAACTATCAGTGATAGAGTCAGAACTGAAATCCAGGCAGTCAGGCTCCAGTTGCAGTACCACTAACCTGGAGGAAGACTATTTCCTAATTCTTTACAGTTCAAAACACGTAAAGAGGGCCGGGTGCAGTGGCTCATGCCTGTAATCCCAGCACTTTGGGAGGCGAAGGCGGTTGGATCACCTGAGCTCAGGAGTTAGAGACCAGCCTGGCCGACATGGGGAAACCCTGTCTCTACTAATAATACAAAAATTAGCCGGGCGTGGTGGCACGCCTGTAATCCCAGCTACTCGGGAGGCTGAAGCGGGAGAATTGCTTGAACCCAGGAGGCGGAGGTTGCAGTGAGCTGAGATAGCACCATTGTATTCCAGCCTGGGCGACAAGAGCGAAACTCCGTTTCAAAAACAAACAAACAAACAACAACAAAAAAACAACACAGAAAGAGAAACATAGGCACATGACCTAGCCTTTCCATGCCTCAGTTTCCCTCTCTGTAAAATGAGGATAATAATGGAACTTACCTTAAAAATTTATTGTGAGGATTAAATGAGCACAATATATGTCAAGTACTTATCACAATGCTGGACACACAGTAAGGGCTTTCTAAGTACTCGCTATATATTACTTTTAGTTTTTTGGTGGCCTGAATATTTTTAAAATAAAAGAGCAAATAAATATATGCAAAATTTTACTGTATGTTGCAGAAAAAATACTTGGTTTTACCTTGCCAAGGAATAACATAAAATCTCCTACTGTGTTGATGGTAGCCACTCGCAAAGCATTCTCCACCAGAATGACAAAGGCATCCTTTGCTGAGGTGCAGAAGTTGGTGCTGTTGATAGCTGTGGCTGTGTATGCATTCTGGACAAAAGCAAAAACAACATTTTCGTCAACAATTGAAACTTCCTTTGTTAAGATAGAAACTGAGCATAGCTAAAACATAGCTTTTAAAAATATTTCAGTCAAACACATGGCACCCTTTAATGAGGTACAGATCGAGACTGAGTACAAGAAAATATAAGATTTAAAGCCTCATATGGTAAAAATAACTTTCCATTTGGCTTAGTTTTGGTTCTTTTAAAAACATTGTTATTTATTAAAACATACACAAACCTTTCTAACACCCCTTAACTTCTTCCCTGTTTTAGTAAATCAAACATAATTTAATCTTTCCTAGATGTCTCAGGGTTGTGACTGTGAACATCAGCAGTGCACTGTAATCATTTAGGTGATGCTTTAAAAGCTGAAGAGGCAGGTGTGAGCATCAGATTGCTATGGTGTTTTATCTGGACTATCCACTATCTCCTCCTTGGTGGCTTTCTTCTATCCTCTCACTTCTCACAGCTCTTGTAGTACATAGCTCTTTGATGGCTGGCATTTTATACCACTACTCTTCCTGGGAGCAGAACCCTAAATCTTTTTTGAGAAAACAGTCTTACCCCATTCCCTGTCTCAATCCCAGTGAGACTGTCACTACCTCCAGCTCTGGGGATGGGTCTTGATTGACATAAGCCAATTAGCATACTATACCTACTGGCCACAATGATTGGTTCAGAATTGGTGAATAAACCAATCAGAGCCAATGAAAGCAAAAGTGATGTTCCCTGGGGCTTCTGGGAAAAAAAGGCTTTCTTTCTCTTCCATAGGTTCTCTTGAAGGTGTGAGGGTTTGAATGGCTATAGCTGTTTCGCTAACATAATGAGAAGAGCTGCTGAAGGTCACAGTGTAAAACTGAGGGTGAGGCCAACACCATGAAGTCAGAGCAGGGAGAACCAGGTACTTCAACCTGGTGACAGTTGGGACATTGGGAACTTGCCAGATTTCTGAACTTTTCAGTTATAGAAGCTAATAAATTGCTAAGAATCCCAGCTCTTCCCTGCTCCACATTCCCCTCCCTCTCCCTTGTTCAGGTCAGATTGAGCTGAGCCTTCTGTTCCTTAAAATACTGAGTTCTAGCTGACACGTTTTCATTCAATTATACCTGCTTCTGCTGCCCCATGTGCTCTTTGACCTACTAGTCACAGACTGATTTTTTTTTCCATTCTTTTTTATGTTACATTCTAGAACAGCATTGATGTTTTCTGGGAAATGTGAAAAAGTATTATAACATCAAATATGTTTGAGTCTTAGGAAGGAAAAGTATATGAACTTTGTGACTAAAACTTTTGGTCCTGAGGAATTTGGGTTTAGTGCTGACTTAAATTGTTTCTAGGTCCCAAATGTTGAGATTGCTGGGAAACTGTTGGAGATAAAGGGCTTACTTTATACTGTGTTGTCTATAAAGCTTTAACCACTGAGCCCAGGAGAGATAGTCTACAATTTACGAATATTCTAATTATAAGCTTGTTAGTTATTAGGAGTCTGTAATGAAGATGAGGTTTGAATTACCAAAAATTTAACTTGCCATTATATGATTAAATTCACTGATTAAAAATGCAGAACATTTCAGAGCCAAAGAGAGTATTGTACTGAGCAGGTCACTACCTGTGGTTCTTTTTTTTTTTTTTTTGAGACGGAGTCTCGCTCTGTCGCCCAGGCTGGAGTGCAGTGGCGGGATCTCGGCTCACTGCAAGCTCCGCCTCCCGGGTTCACGCCATTCTCCTGCCTCAGCCTCCCAAGTAGCTGGGACTACAGGCGCCCGCCACTACGCCCGGCTAATTTTTTGTATTTTTAGTAGAGACGGGGTTTCACCGTTTTAGCTGGGATGGTCTCGATCTCCTGACCTCGTGATCCGCCCGCCTTGGCCTCCCAAAGTGCTGGGATTACAGGCGTGAGCCACCGCGCCCGGCCTACCTGTGGTTCTTAAGCTTTTTTCAGTAATGGGGCAATAGGAAATAAATTATGGTGCTCTTTAAGAAACACAGTATGAAGACGGGTGTGGTGGCTCACGCTTGTAATCCCAGCACTTTGGGAGGTCGAGGCAGGTGGATTGCCTGAGGTCAGGAGTTTGAGACCAGTGTGGCCAACATGGTGAAACCCCGTCTCAACTGAAAATACAAAAAAATTAGCCGGGCGTGCTGGCATGCGCCTGTAATCCCGGCTACTCGGAGGCTGAGGCAGGAGAATTGCGTGAACCAGGGAGGTGGAGGTTGCAGTGAGCTGAGATCGTGCCACTGCACTCCAGCCTGGGCCACAGAGTGAGACTCCATCTCCAAAAAAAGAAAAACAAAACAGAAATACAGTATGATTTTGATATATAGAATTCCATCATACAAATTGGGGAAGTTTGTTATCATCAGAATATTATTACTATATTATGTTTGCAAGTCTTTTTATCTCAAAAACTAAAATACAGAACATCTTAAAGAAATCATACTAAGTGTTTCTGTTAGCATCCACCTGCTTCTTGCTCCCTTATATTGTCATCTGTCAGTGCTTCTTATCAGATAAAAGATAGCAGGCACCACACAGTTAACTACCTAACTGCAGTGGTCCAAGTGTTTTTTTTCCATCTTCTACAAAAGCTTCTTTTGAAATACTCTGCCAAGTGCCTCAATGAAGTAAAAATAAACTACACTTTTGATCTTGTGTAACATTAACCTTGCTGAAAAACAATGAAGAAGAACTGCCCCAGCCAGTTCTATTCTGAAAGAACACAGATTGGTTCCCAGTTCACACCAGTTCCCTAAGTACTCACAAAACACCCAGTTAACAATTTATTCTATAGCAGGGGTGGTCAACCTACCACCTGCAGGCCATATCTGGCCTGCCAATTACTTTTTTTTTTTTTTTTTTTTTGTGAGATGGAGTCTCACTCTGTCGCCCAGGCTGAAGTGCAGAGGCACGATCTCAGCTCACTGCAAGCTCTGCCTCCCGGGTTCACACCATTCTCCTGCCTCAGCCTCCCGAGTAGCTGGGACTACAGGCACCCGGCTAATTTTTTGTATTTTTAGTAGAGACGGGGTTTCACCGTGTTAGCTAGGATGGTCTCGATCTCCTGGCCTTGTGATCCACAAGGCCTCCTTGGCCTCCCAAAGTGCTGGGATTACAGGCGTGAGCCACCGCACCTGGCCTGCCAATTACTTTTGTAAATAAAGTTTTACTGGCACATAACTGTGCTCATTGTTTACATATTGTCTATGGCTGCTTTCATGCTACGGTGATGGAACTGTGCCGTCGTGAAAGATCCTGTATGGCCCACAAAGCCAAAAATATTTACTCTCTGGTCCCTCACAGAGAAAGCTTGCTGACCTCCTGTTCTAGAGTACTGCCAAGGATTAATATCAACCTCATCTACTCACTCATCTACTGTATGTGGAACCCACCCTCTTACTGGAAATACAAACCACATTTGCTCATTTCAAGTTTTAGTAACTTCCTCCACAACTTCCAATCTTTCAGCATCTTTCACTGTAATTCTTCAGTTCAACAATTTAATTGACAAAGGTCTTCAGTGATCTGGGATATAACTCCTTTGAAGAGAAATACCTTATTTCCCACATTCTAAGATATAATCAAGAGACTAATGAGCCAGTTATTCATAACAAGTTTTTGGGAGAAAATATCCTACCATATTAAATACACATATTGATTATGAGATACATCCTGATACTAAATAGCTTCATAATGTCTAGAATCAAGGAAATTGGACAACCCATTTAAATCAACTAGGTACTAGCTTATGTTCACTCCCGCCCTCAATGGGAACAACTCACTCTTAACTAAAGTGTTCTGCCCTTTCCAGTTTACCATGAATTTCCTTGAGACGGAAGCAAGAAAGGACCCACACGTCTCCATTCTCTCTCCTCTGTTATCATCAGACCAGCTTACACGAGGAGAATGCCCAACACTTCCAAACTAAACTATAAAAGCTTTTTTTGTTTCCCTCATTAGTTTTTAGAAGCTTCATTTCATTTGAGAATTATTATTATTCCTCTTTTGCTTCTTTCTTATCACCCCACCCTGCCCCATTCCATCTGCTTTTAGGGCAGAAGTCTATTTGTTGGTAGATAAGCAGCAATAATTTCTTTTCTCCACCCCTCTGAGAAATTTCTGTGAGGGTCGAATGTCCAGAAATTTAGCCTTTTAAAAGGCAATATTTCTATGGATCTATGCAATTCCTTTGTATTCAACCCAACTGAAAAAAAGTAGGTGGATATTTTGCAAGCTCTTTCACTCACTCCCAAGGTAGGAAGATGAACTGGATACACAAAGGTCAAGATGACCTCTTCAGGAAGAAAAATGTGCTGCAGATCACAGCAGGCAAATGAAAATTCCCTCCTTTTCTATACTTCCTAGTCTAAAATAATTCTTGCTTAAGTTCTTAAGAATTTCGGAGTCCTTTGTGGCTTTCCCTGATAACTATTCTCTGAGCTTTCTTCAGACTTCTTGGTTGAGATTTTTAGAGTCCACCCACCTTCTCAGACAGCCTTCCTTATCTGGAGTTAAACTGCCCACAGACAGACATCACTGATTAACATTTAGCCCACGCTCAACATTTGCTTGGGCAGGACACAAGCTTGAGAATATTCAACCCCCAGGAGCAAGGTGAAGGATGACCACCATCCAGGAATCTTTTTAAAGGATGCCTGTTAGCCTACGCAATCCCTGGTTGTACTTTTGTGTGATGGGATATAGTTAAAAAGTACTGATCATGTGAAAGAAAATATGTTAGGGCAGAGGGTCACCATGCATGGAACAGGCCTGTGTGGCCATCTGTCCCAGAATACAACTTCTTCATTTTCACATCTTCTTTCCTTTCTCTAGTGAAGGACCCAGAAATTCTCTTAAAGTTTAAAATATTCACATAATGACTCACTTAATAGGGGCAAGCTACACAATAATGCTAAGGGAATATAGGGTATGTGCAGTTCTGTGTGGATTCGTATAAATTAAAGAAATGAAAGGGTAATTACAATTATTCCTTTCTTATTTGAGGCAAAGGAGAGAAGGGGAATGCTATGGTCTGAATGTTTGTGTCTTCTCAAAGTTGGTATGTTGAAACATAGTCAGCAAGGTAATGGTATTAGTAGGTAGGGTCTTCAGGAGGTGATTAGGTCATGAGGGCTCTACTCTCATGAATGGATTAGTGCCCTTATTTAAAAAAATACCCCAAAGAGCTGTTTTGTCTCTTCCACCATGTGAAGTCACAGCAAGAAAGCACCATCTCTGAACCAGGAAACAGGCCCGCACAAACCACTGAATTTGCTGGTGCCTTGTTCTTGGATTTCCCAGCCTCTAGAACTATTGGAATAGTTCTCATCAACTACATAACTATGAAAAATAAATTTCTGTTGTTTAGAAGCCACCTAGTGTATGGTATTTTGTTATAGAAGCCTGAACAGATTAAGACAGGGCACAAAGTCAAACCCATACTGTAGGCTTTATCTAATTTTGTTCTAAATTCTTAGACTTTTTCAAGGTCATAAAAATTACAAGTGTGTTGCAAATCTTAATTTCAACAGGCTTTCTTTCTTTTTTCTTGAAAGAGTCTCACTCTGTTGCCCAGGCTGGAATGCAATGGCTCAATCTCGGCTCACTACAACCTCCACCTCCCAGGTTCAAGCGATTCTCCTGCCTCGGCCTCCGGAGTAGCTGGGACTACAGGCACGAGCCAGCACACCTGGCTAATTTTTGTATTTTTAGTAGAGATGGGGTTTCACCATGTTGGCCAAGATGGTCTCGAACTCCTGACCTCAAATGATCCACCTGCCTCGGCCTCCAAAAGTGTTGGGATTACAGGCGTGAGCCACCGTGCCTGACCTCAATAGATTTTCTTTAAAAACATAATTGTCGTAGTTTACAGAATGAATCATTACAATTTGAGATGTGTGCGTATTTTCTATAATAAACCATATTTTTGTTTGCTTACACCACTCAGAAATGTATATATATTTATATGTATATAAGTGTGATATAATGGCAGCAGTGTGATATACTGGAAAGAGCAAGGCAAAATGATTTGAAAACTTCTTCCACCTTTAGGTCTCGTGATTTGCCACAAGATGCCAGTCTCAATTTTCTCATCTATGAAACAGATGAGAAAATAATGCTAGCCTTACAGAGTTGTGTTGACCACATTTCAAGTGTGGCATTTCCTATGAGCCCAGGAGACATGAAGCTCTGCAGGTGATCAGTCCCCACATTGTAGCACTTTGTATTCCCAAATAGAACTACAAAGTATGAGTTCAGAACACCTCTCCCTAAGCCTTTCCTCACATGTTTGATTTACTACTATTTTAATGTTCCACTTAAAACTTCAAACATCGTGCCTACGAAATGCTGATCCAAAATGGACAAAATCTGTAAAAAAAAAAAAAGACCAACATCTCAGGGTTGTTGGTACTAAATCACTGACTAATGTTTAGCTTGGGATATGCTGAAAACCTTCCATTTGTTAACCTTTTATCGACTATCTTGATATCATATGACTTGTTTTCTTCCTTCAGTATAACTGCACATCTCCTTTTCAGGATTTTTATAGTTTTGTATCACCCTGTTAGTCTTTTTGAGTCTAAATATTCACTAATATAATTAACAGTTCATTCAGAAAACACTTAAGGACCACCTATTGTATACTGGGCACTGTGCTAGCTTCTGAGGAGACCAAGAAAAAGAAGAACTTTAAAGGAGCTAGAAGTTTAAAGGTAAAGTTAACAGATAACTTCGATATAGTGTTGTTAGTATTTGAATACTAAGGTATGACCTCAGCTTCTAACTCTGCTGAGTTAGAAGCTCAGCAGAGGGGCTGGGGTGAAGAGGGATGGCTTCTTGGAGGTGACGCTCAGGCAGAATCATTAAGGTTCAGTAGGAACTAGTCAGATTCCAGGCACATTTGGAAAACTGCAAAAGCAAAAGGTGCCTGGGGGTACGGCAGTAGGATTGAGACTAGAGATCTGGGCTTAGCACATCTCTCCGAGGATAAGCTATTTAGTGATGGGTATAAAAATGCAATTATGATCATCTTTAGTGTATCCATTACCTTTCTGATAAAGATGACTTGGCCTCAAACCAATTTTAAAGAACACAATTTTTCAGGTTGTTATGGCCTTACAAATTATTTTAAGAATGAGCTTCCAAACACTTGTACATCCATAGGGAATATTATGACCTATAAGAATGTATTTTGCTAATGAAACATCATACCTACTTTCTCATATTAACCATAGAACCCAATAAAGCAAAGTCCAGGCATGCTCAATACCATGGGCATAGAACTATCAACCTGTGACTATCTTGGAGTGAATGGAAAGTGCAATGCTACTCTTCAATCACTTAGCAGTAAATGGTGAGAAAGTCAATTTTATCTCTGGCCTATTAGATGAGGGCATTAATACATTAGAATTGATTTTTAGGGAATGGAAAAGTAACTTAAAAAAATAAAGAAAAGAAGGAAGGAGTGCCCCACAGAGACTCCCAGATCCTCAGATATAGAAAGATAGAGGACTAACCCATTCACCTAGGCCCTTTTATCCTATAAATATCAATTCTTCCATTCAACCTTATTAAGTAGTACTTCCTTTGATAATATTTCCCAGGCCAATATCATAGTGTTTAGCAGTTGGGTCAAAAAAAAAAAAAGTATCAGCATAGAGAGCACACTAGTTCGAATGATAGTAGCTAGTTGCAAAGAGGGATAAAGTGTCACAACAGCTTTACACTGAAGTTTTCAAACAACATTTTTAAAAATGAAAGGGTAATCATAGCCACAGTAGTCAGATTCTTAGGAAAAACTTAAAAAATGAAGGAATGTGAATTAAGGGATGAGAGATAAATGTTTTTCCTGAAAGACGAACCAGAGTGATGTTTTATCTATTTATTAAAATAAAAATAATAACATATGTAACAAATCTGTACATGTACTCCCTAAACCTAAAAGTTGGAAAAAATTAAAATAATAATGAGCCTTGGTAAGCATATACATTAATTTAAAAAATAAGAATATGATTGAAATAGACATACTTTATCAAGGCACAATGTACAATACCACAAGAAAAACATAACATCTTTCAATTAAGTTTATCTTGGGAGAAGAAACAATGAACCTATCTTTGAAAGTAAATATTAGATTTATTTTTAAAATATTTTACCTGATTTAAATAATTTAGGCACTTTTCAAGACACCAAAGGCAACAAATGCAAGATTTCAGCACACATCGTGCACAAGCATTTTCCTGGATGGGGGAAAAATGGAAATAATAAAAAAACCAAAGAATCAAACTGTCACATAGAAGACTTCAAACGTTAGAAAAATAAATAAAAATTTAAAAATCACAATTTATGCTTCAAAGCCTCCATACTTGTCCACTTTCTCCTTAAAACATAATGACTGAATTATTTTTAATAAGTTCAATTAAATATTTATTTAGTCTCTACTGCATATACAGTGAAGTTTATAACACCTGCAAGGAACTTACAATCTAGTAGGAGAAAAAAAATACCAAACACAAAAAAGGTTAGAATCAGAATATAGTATAGATACTAAGTGTTATGAGAGTGGAGAACAAAGAGACAGCATTGTTTGGGAGATGGGAGGAATCAGGAAAGGTTTCTACAAAGGAGTAGAATTTGAGCTAAACTAGTTGAAGTGCATGTTATTCCCACAGTCAAGGAAGGGAAGAAGTTCTAAGGAGGAAGGTATGTGAGTCAACAGAGAGGAAGAGCAGCACAGGATACTTTTAGTTACTAGTGACTGGATGAATTTTGCCAGAGCATATGGAGTGCATGAGTGGGAGACAAGGGAGAAGGGCTGGATTTTGCCTTGTAAAGACTTTGAAGAAAACACAACTTTGTATTTAACATTATTGGGTGCTTTACTACATGCAGAACTGAGGTCTGGAATGTGCCCACAGAAAGTACAGAAATGCATTTTCCCCTTACCTTTCCTTTGAGCTGACTGTGAATATACATAAGGATCATTCGCGGAATTTTGACTAATGTGATAATGAAAGATCCTTTTGCCACCGTACCTAGGTGGTAACGAATAAGGCGATTTACTGATGCCAAAATAGGTGTAAATGGCAAATTCCTTTTATCCCTATTTAAAAAATGACCAAAAAGACAATTAAAACAAAGCCTAGATCAGGATGGAAACACAGGTATGGTTTAGAGTCCAACGCAGTGAAAAAAAAAATCAGCTCATCATTCTTATTTTAGCTTTATGACAAAATGGCCAAGTGATATATAACTATTACAAATGCTACAGACATGCTATATAAAATTAATGTCATTGCTCTATGGTAGTTTCATGGGGTTCTGATGCTCTAATACTTCAAGTTAAATAAAACTGTGCTCTGAAAGCTTTTATTAGTGAATACTTATGGGGTCATCAGAAAACAGAATTTAAAAAGATGTTAAATTTAGACTTGGCATCTAATTATAATAGAAAATTATGAGACCTAAAGCTTTCATATTTGGCTCTAAAGTTAGCAAAGGGAACTCACACTTGTTCCGGTCTAAACAAACTAAAAAGACTTGTTGTCCTTTGATGGACTTTTATATAAAGCAAAAGTACATATGGCACCACTATAAGATTTATTCTTCTGCTAAATACAATTTGTGACATCGCAATAAATTTTATGAGACAACTGCAGAAAAGTATAAAGAATAAAACAACAATCTCTCATTTGACCACCTCCCAGAATTATCAACTATATATAACACTCTGTCATATTCATTTCTAATTCTTTTGTTAAAGAAATGAAACTCCTGCCAGCCCCAGTCTGATTCCCTTCCCCTCCAGCCTGCGGACACCATCCCTTAGATGAACTCGAGTTTTCTAATAACAACATATTCTTACCTAGTAAAATAGTATGTTACCACAGCTCCTGCCACTGTCATCTGCTGACATGCTAGAATAAATTCACTGATCCAAATCAGGCCCACCACATGGTACCACCACATGTACTGCAGAGGCCCAGAAATTTTGAACTCCACAAAGCCTTGCTCATTCTGAACAGGACTGCCTAGGAAAATATCAAGGAAGGAAAGAAGAAGCACATAAAGTACAAATCCAGAAATACGGCAGTTAAGTAGAAGGCAATAGGTCCCTACCCCAAGCCACAAACCTTCTGATCTGTGTGGTATTTCATAAAGGGACAAAAATAACTATCACTTGAAAAGTTGTGAAATTAAGAATTGTACTATTATGCATTTTGATGTCCTCAAAGGCATCATATAAAGCTTTTAAAAGTTGTTATATTTAATAAAACTCTTCTTATATTATCAATTATTTAAGCATGAATTTTCAAACACTTCAGTTTTTTTCAAGGCCTATTATTTATCCAATCATTACAGATTTCTTAGCAAAGTACAGAAATTATTATTATATTCAGTTGCTAAGTGTGTGTGCTGAATGGACAGATAAGTTACATAGTTACATAAAAGTTTACTATCCTTATGATACTCTTTACAATTAGTTCCATTTAAGCTTAACCTTTGATACTCAGTACGGCTGTAAGAAAGTCTGAGTGTCTAACTATGAACTATATCATCAGTTGGAGCTCTAGCTAGGGTCAGATCATTTCGAAACCAGAAAATCCCAAGGAAGTAAGTAGATCCTTGGCTATACCTGGGATTTGAGGTAACTCCTGAGTGACATTGCATTCACTGGTTCATCTTAGAATGAATCTAAATGTCTGAGTCAGTATTGGAACTTACTTCAAATTCATGATCATTTCAAAATTAGAGTGCAATTTCAGGCCTTCCCTGATCTAGACTTACATTGCTAGGATGTTCTAAAAAATCATGAATATGGGCTGGGCACGCTGGCTCACGCCTGTAATCCCAGCACTTTGGGAGGCCGAGGTGGATGGATCACATGAGGCCAGGAGTTGGAGAGCAGCCTGGGCAACATGGAGAAACCCTGTCTCTACTAAAGATACAAAAATTAGCCAGGCATGGTGGTGCATACCTGTAGTGCCAGCTGCTCGGGAGGCTGAGGCAGGAGAATCGCTTAAACCTGGGAGGCTGAGGTTGCAGTGAGCTGAGATCACACCACTGCACTCCAGTTTGTGTGACAGAGAGACACTCTGTCTCAAAAAAAATAAAAGGCCAGGTGCGGTGGCTCACGCCTATAATCCCAACACTTTGGGAGGCCAAGGCAGGCGTCCTGACCTGATCATGAGGTCAGGAGTTCGAGACCAGCCTGGCCAATATGGTGAAACCCTGTCTCTACTAAAAATACAAAAATTAGCCAGGCATGGTGGCATGTGCCTGTAGTCCCAGCTACTCAGGAGGCTGAGGCAGAAGAATCACTTGAACCCGGGAGGCGGAGGTTGCAGTGAGCCAAGAGAGCACCACTTCACTCCAGCCTGGGTGACAGAGCAAGACTCTGTCTCAAAAAAAAAAGACGAATATGAAGTAGGTTGTTGAGGAGCCATAACCACTACAAGTTCTGATGGCTATTGGACCTTCATCAACAAATGTCTGAAGAATTACCTCTCTCTGATGTTCTAAAATACTGGAATGCAAATCACGTTTGTCACTAAGAGAAAGAAGCTTATCTTCTTACCGGTAGTGCCAAGAAAAAGAAGTGTCATGATCCAGTACACCCAAAACAAGACAAGAGCAAAGAAAGTCCAGAAGGGTTGGAAGACTAGCAGTGGCAAGTGAATGAAGACCTTGCCAGCTACGTGGAACAAGGCGATGGTAAGAGCAACACGTTTGCGCATAACCAACATTATCAGGAATAAGATCACCTGTATGGAGAGAATGGTTTCAGTTATTATTATAAGTAGTGAAAACAGAAACCGAAAATAGTAGAAATTTTTAACATAACCCTTCAGCCCCAAACCTGGAGGTAGCATTCTTTGAATTTCAATAATACTTTATCAGTAAGTATCTCTCTTGCAATATTTATTGTCAATTTTATATTATGGTTACCAAGTGACCTTTAAAGCAAAACATAAAAGGATTTCTCAACTTATTAATACATTCTAGAATTTTTTTCCTTTTCCCTTTGCCACTCATTATGAACCAAAACATACTGTCAGTCAGGATGAGACTCTTTATTTATTTAAACAGATACACCACAAAAACGAGGTTTTTATTTGTATCTTCCTTATTAGACCAACAGCTCCTTAAAAGTGGGATCTGTGTCAGATTCACCCTTTGCCTCCTCCCACCCCCACATCCCATCTTCAGCAGCTGGCACAGCAAATTGTACCTAAAATGAGATTTCATTCATATTTTGTTGTAATATCTGTATAACAATAACTAACAAATATCTTTTGGCACCAATGGTTTTATGATGGCTTTATTTTTTGTTTCTGATGCTCAATAAAAAGCTTGGGATTGCTCTTAGAAGTAGACTGATTTTTTTTCTTTTTTCAGAGAGAAGACGATGATGAACCAAAGGTATACATATAAATTATTTAACCACATGTTAATTGGTAATTTTATTGCTTAATACCTAAGCAGCAAATCTCACACACACACACACACACGCGCGCGCGCGCACACACACGCACACACAAACACACATATATATTTTGGAGACAAGGTCTCACTCAGTTGCCTAGGCTGTAATGCAGTGACACAATCATGGCTCAGGTGACCCTCCCACCTCTGCCTCCCGAGTAGCTGGGACCACAGGTGCACACCAGCATGCTCAGCTGATTTTAATTTTTTGTGAAGACAGGGTCTCACTATCTTGCCCAGGTTGGTCTAGAACTCGTGGGCTCAAGTGATCCTCCCACTTCAGTCTCCCAAAGTGCTTGCATTATAGGCATAAGCCACTGTACCTGACCACACCTATATTTTTGAAATAACGCCATAAAGTTAAATGAAAAGTTTGAAAGACAAATGGGAAGATAATTAGCAAACAAGTAAATGGAATGATATATTTTTTAACATACTTTTCTACAGTAAAGGGAACCATTTTTAAAAAGTAATTATCTTATGACAATAAGAAATATGTTCTTGTAAGCAAATGGTAATGTAAATATTCTAGGTGAAAATCCTCTCTCAAAAAGCAGACAGGGTAGAAAAAATGTTTCATCAAATAGCACTCATCCATGAGGGAAGCCTTCAAGAGACTTTTTAGTGTTTCATACACTATGGCACAGAGATATTATCTACTGGAGATCAGGGTTAGGAATGCAAAAGCTAGATTTGAGTTTCTGCTCCATTAATGATCTCCTGCAAACAAAAACACAAAACCGAAAGACACGCCAAAGCCTAAACTCACTGTGAACACTGTAGCTGAAATGGCATAAATGAGGAGGGCCCGAAGATTGTCTTCAGCTATCTGAAGCTGCTCAGGAGTAACAGTTTCTTTGGGAGACCTTCTTTGCTTTGCATACAGCCACCATAGTACACCTGTGCCTCCTGGAGACAAAAGACCCAACTGTTAATGCAATAATTAGGATAAGAAAATGTGTAACATAAATTCTCAATTTTCTTGACCCTTCCTACAGATCATCATGGGACTAATGCAGTGACAATCCATTTGGCTGGGAAGTACATAGCTATAACTTTTTGCCAGCATAAAGAAAGTGTCCATTGCTCTATTATCATCCTCCACATTAAGCATTTATAAATCCTTCAGTGTATCAAATAAGCTTCCTTCAAATGTATTTATTATTGACTATGAAGCTAAGAGCGAGCCAGTAGAAACATACACCCCTGACAGGAATTGACCACAAAGAAAGAGCCTCAGCATTTAAGCTGAGGAGGCTGGAGGAAGGAAATAAGCATCACAGAAAACATCAATGAAGCTTAAAGAGGGCAAGGATCTTCTCTGTTGTACTCATCACAGATACCTCTGTGACTTGCACTGACACAGTAATGCAGTTGATTAAGTATTTGTACAATGAATAAATGCAAATCAAAAGAACAGTTCCCACCAAAGGGAGGAACAAAGAGGAAATCTCTGATAGTGGTGGGTGCTAGGGATAAGCATTTTTAAATCTCCAACACCGGTTGAGAGATTCAAAGAACCAGACTGAAGAGGGAGACAAACCTACCTCCACATATGAGAGCTGACTTATATACCTACTTTCAACCCATTCAGCATTTTGAATGCTACAGCACCTATTGTTCTAGCTGGAGATAGAACAGTAAACAAAGCCAAGTTCTTACTCTTGCTGTTCATGGAACTTATATAATAATAGGGAAACAAAAAAATAAGAAAACAAGGAAAAATACAGTATATTAAGTCTAAAGAAAAAATGATCTCCTGGTAAGAAGGATATAGAGTGTCTGGGTAGGGAAAGCTTTGCAATTTTATATAAGATGGGTAAGCAAGGCCTCACTGGTATTAGTAAGATGATATCTGAGCAATGGAATCAAAGACAGAGAGCAATCTATGACACTATCTAAGGAAAGAGTGTCCCAGGCAAAGTTCAAAGAGACTGAGGTAGAACCATGCCTAGTATGAGAGAAAGAAGACCATTGTGGCTACTGCAATGAGCAATGCGGAAAGTGGTAGAGATGTGGGCAGAGAGGTAGCTGCGGACCAGACCACACTGTAAGGCCTTGTAGGTCACAGTGAAAAAATGGATGATTCAGAGTAGAGACATGTGTGTGTGTGGCTGATATGATAAATGTCTGGGATATAAAAAACTGAAGCAAAGTCGATGTACATCAACATCTGCACTCAAGAGTTAATGAGATCAAAGGCAAATTCCATTACCTATTTGTTGGCAAATACCAAGTACAAATTTTCCATCTGTTGAAGAGGAGGAAACAAATCAAAACTACCAGAAATTGGTGAAAAACATTTTAGAGCAAGGGAATGTTTCCATTTTGAAGTCTTGCAGGCACAAGAAAATTGTCTGGAAAAATGTTTAATATATTCAGAAAATGGAAGAAAATATGTTTCCTACATACAGAAATGAATTATAGGAGAAAAGCTGAAGTTAAAAAAATAGAATGAAATTGAAATAATGATGTCAAGGAGGAAGCTGTTCACAATAGCCATGGTAGACAGTATTTATTATTAAAATTTAAATTTGTATTAGGAACTGTGCTAAGTCCTTTATAGATGTGATCTAATTTAATCATTATAACACTATTCATATCTAGAGTTTTAAAGTTTTGTCTAATTCTGAATCTTAATTAAATTTGCCTATGATCTTTTGGGGGAATCTTTTTCAATTCTAAAATTTTTTATTTCTGTATTTGATTATTGTTTCTGTTCCATTGGTTTTTTTCTCCTAAGGTCATTGTTTATTCTTCTGCTGTCATCTTCTAACTTAACAGTTTACTTTTTTGGTAATTTTCCTTTACATTCAGGAAGACTTCTTCAAATTTATTTCCAAATAACTGATTTAGTTTTCCTTACTAGCAGTTCTGTACTACTTTATGGAAAAAGGACCAGTAGTTCCTACTAAAACTAGTCCAGGAAAACGTAAATGTAAATATAATTATAAAAGTTTTTAAGGCAAAGATAAACAAGAGTTTTAAAAAGATACAGCAGGTGAAAGCAATATTTTAACTTTAATTATAACCCGAGTACAAAAGCTCAGACTATTTAACAAGGGCGAAAAGTGGGAGGGAGCAGAAGAGAGTAGGGGATGAAAGGAAGGAAAGTTTATGTTAAATTTAAGGGAGGCAGGGAAGAACTCAACATATATCATCTTATTTCTGACTTTAATAATCACAGTAGTCTAAAGAATATTTTCTGAAAACAACTGTGGAAGTGAAAATGTAACGTATACCATCAAAACAAGGGTGAAGATAACCAAAGAAAACATAGTTCGTGTAGCAAAGAGAGAAAACAAGAAAGAATGAATTTCAAGAAAGACAGAACAGATGAGAACAGTAAGACCAAACATACCAGTGAAGATGATAAATGTAATGAGAACAAATTCCATTACTAAAAGGTTTCATATTCAGCTGGTAAAATTTAACTGCATATGTTTATATACATATGCATAGAAAAAAGGTCTCAACTTCAAATGCCAACAGTGATGAAATGAGGGGAGGGGCAAATATAATTATAAGAAATTTTAAGGCAAAAATTAACAGTCTTCCTTGAGGATATAGCTTGTGAAAATATAATTTATTTTCTTCTTTATATTTCTATTTTCTACCAAAGTAGTTAAGAGGCTGAGGTAGAAAACAAAGAAATAAATAGCTTACCAAGTGAACCGAGTATGACCAGAATCGTTAAGATCCACACAAGTACTCTTGATATATACCTGATTATCACCATCAAAATCATGGATAGAACTGCAGGGAAGATAGAGAACATATAGAATATTATTTGAAAATGCAGGTAAATACAAATAAAAACGCTTTAAATGGTTGCTTTTTTCCCCAGGGAAATAATCTGTTGCTATTGACCACAATTTAGATAAGGAAGGAAACTAGCTGCTGTTGTATTTGACTCTGCTACCTGTACCACTTAAATAGCATCACTCGAAACCAAAGTCACCTAACTGTGGGTTTATAAACTACAGAAAAAAATACATGCAAATGCACATGGTGACTCAAAAACAGCACAAGACTGTTGTGGATTCACCACGGGGAAGACATCAGACATGCAAACATACATGCCAGCACACAAAGTGTAGAGAATGACATGTCATGTTGGTGACAAGAAAAATTACTACACATAGACAGAGATCAGTTAAATTAGGAGCTACGCTTTATTGAGTAATCTATGTATTTCAGGAGCAACTAACTTCTCTGACAGTCAGTCAAGAAGCTAAATGGCATCTTATCCTTTTCTGGCTGTTTCTCCTCTAGAACTCCAAAGGATGGTCCGACTCTGTGGAATAACATCCTGAAGCCTACTATGGCCGAATTTCCTCTGTCTAATTTCTCAACTGAGGTCAGGGGTCCCAGGTGAGGAGACCTTCCTCAAAAAGGAGCAAAGCTGTTTGAGTTATACAGCCAGTTCTTCTACCTGCCCCAAGCTAAATCCGATGTGCTATAATCCTGAGTAAAAATCTTAAAGAAGAAAGGAAAGATTTAACCCTTGCATGGGAAATACGTTTCTGAAATAATAATTTATAAATTTCTTAATTATCTAAAGGCCCATTCCACAAACAAATGAACAAAGATTTTTTAAGATTATATTACACTCTTAAGCCTCAAAAGAGAATCATTCTAATAAAAAATAGAATTCTGATGGCTTAGCATTATTGGCACTATTTTTTAATTGGATCTTTAGTTTTTGGTTAAAGTTTTAACTATTTCAAAAACCAAATAATTTTGATATAAAGCTAGACTAACAGTTAAGTTTCTTTGGGCCACTTGCAAAGCCAAATAAATGGTTGGGATTTGTGTCTAGGTAACATTATTAAGGTACTCACTTTTGCAATAAATGTACAGGAACCAAAAACAGATGGGAGCCTTTCAAATATCACAGAAATAGATTTTCATATGGACAGCATTATTTCAATTGAGTCAAGTACTACCTAAGCAAAAAGAAAATACTCTCTAATGACAGGAAAGACGGAAATACAGCTTGTATCTTCTCAATGGCTATAATTGTTAACAGGCATAAATACTAAGTTTACTTATATAATGAAATAGCTGTTGGTTCCTACCATAGTTTACTTCTCCCAACTAAGAAGGCCTATACATTCTGATAAGGTACATATAGTTCTAGAATAATATAGGGAGTTTTAATCTTGAAAATAACATTTTTGTTTGATTTATTATCTATTTATTGACTAGAAAACTCAGTGGCTAATAGGTGGAGATTTCCTAATTTTTCCAGCAATACACTGATACTATGCACTGTAGCAATGAAAAAAAAATTACATACTTCAAAAGTAATCTATCAGAAATCTGTGTTCTTAAATGGGAATATATAAGAGAATATGTCGCCTCCTGTATAAGTAAATACACCTTTTAGGAATCATAACTAAAAACAGAGGGTTGTTGATTCATTAAAAGAAGCCTCTTGCTCTCATATTAAAGTAGCTATAGACTTAGTAAACAACGTTTGGGAAAACACTAGTTTTCTCCAATGAAAGAAAAAAAGAAGGGAATGAGTTTCAGATATATATACATACTTATATGTACATATTCTTAACTATATATAATCTGAAACAATGATTTTGGCTATGGGAAGTTAAACATTTTACAAGTATCCCCAGTTGTATTCATATTTTGGCTAAAAGACAAAACAGTCTTCTTCTGCAATACTATGCAATAGCTAATAATGAGAAAAACAATTACCTAGTGATAACAAGCAAAGTCCCAATATAATTTCTTTGCTGGTCATTACTCCACTAATCAGCCTGTGTAAGACACTATTGTCACTGACAAAGGTGATCAGGGCCTCTGCAAACTTGGCATAGCAGGAAATGTTCACAGGAGCACAGCGATGGAAGAATGGAATAGGTGCACTGGTGACACAAGAAAAAAAAATCAGAAAAAAAATTACTCCTACTTAATATAAATGCCACATCAAACACACAAATGAAAGGTGAATATGGCTGCAATACACTCCACCCTCCACACATCATTATGGGAGCTAAGAGCTGTGTGCTTAATGCTATGAGGATGACTGTCATGGGTAGTGATGCAAATCTTACCACAAGCCTTATCAAAGAGGGTGGAGTGCATGTTCCAACAGAAGACATTACCCGCCCCTTCTGAAAAGAAACGCACACACACACACACACATACACACACACAACTACCAAAAGCAAAACCAAACACTTAAAACTCCTTAGCCTGCACATCTACCAGTCAAGGGGCAGATGACAAAGCTTACAAACACATACTTTATTGAACTGAAAATGAATTTTTGCCATAAGCGATTTAAAAATAAAAAGCACATGCTTTTACTTGAAATATGCCACCATTAATAGAATGTTTCCTCTAACAAAACAGCATACAAAATCTCAGATTAATAAAGGTGTTTACAGCATAAGCTTAATACCTCTCATATAAACAAAGTCATGCTGAGACATCAACAAACAGCATAATAGGCAGCTATTTAAAACAGTAACCATGAGTACTAATATATGGAAATGCTTATAATGTAATAATATAAGGGGAAAAGTATATCTAATGTGATATCTCTGCATAAAAGATTACACATAATCATGAGAACAGAAAATAATTAACAAGTGAAAAATACTGGACTTGTTAGGATCACATAATTCTGGGCTATTTTCTTTTTATCAGTTACTATTAATCTAAGATTATCTGTGTCTAAAAAGATGTAAAATAACCAATTACTTAGTCATTTATATTAGGCTTATATGGACTGAAACTTTTACTTGTGAAAGACTAGAGCTATGTGTAAACTGTGACATTAACCTGTTTTGTTACAACATGGTTCAACTTCTGAGAGGACAGTATACACTAATCAATAAGAGATTTTAAGCAAAGAACTACGAATATGCCTTTGGTTGTGATTTACTCGGATTCTATGAGAGCCATATGTATGTCCATGCATAAATACACACTTATATGTGCATTATGTTAAAATTTAGCCATCGTTAACGTGAATCCCACATTTCCAGAATTGTTCTTACAACTTTTTTTAAATGGTATCCATGAAAATATGTTCACAGAACTTTAAGTCCCAGCTACAACTACATTTTTAACTGGAATGATACAAATGTGTTCCTCAGTCTTGGTTGGCACTATATTTTGGTCCAATGAGTGGATAAAATTACATGGTTGGGCACTACAAGGTTTCTAATCTCAGCAAAGCAACTTTGTATGACCTGAAGCAAAACACTATCCTTGTTTCCTTCCTCGAAAAATGCTTCTTTTCAAATAAGAATATAAGCACACTATGTATTAGTTTCCCTTAAATGTTAGTAAATGAGCACCATTGATGGTAAGAAAAAGTAACATCTTTCATGCTGTCATATTTGGTGGAACGTTAAAATAATATAATTTTAAAGATCTAGCCTTGCCTTAGTCTTGCTTTAGCAAATATATCAAAAAATGATGACATAACAATATGACATGAATATTTGTTTTTTAAAATTGCCTCTTGCATCCCTGTGTATTTGTGTCAACCTCCAAAATGGTATTAGTGAAAGTTAATGCCAAAGGTTTGATATTGTATCAGAAAGCGCAGGAAGCCACAGCATTCTAAGAAATGCTTGAATTACAGGTATTCAAATAATTGTTTTTTTAACCAAAAAGTGCTTCACTAATGATGCAAAAAGATATTAAATTATAGAATACCTTTAAGTGAAGTAGATTTAGTTAAAAATATTATGAGAATCAAAAAGGATTAACTGGCCGGGCGCGGTGGCTCACGCCTGTAATCCCAGCACTTTGGGAGGCCGAGGCGGGCGGATCACGAGGTCAGGAGATCGAGACCATCCTGGCTAACACGGTGAAACCCCGTCTCTACTAAAAATACAAAAAATTAGCCGGGCGTGGTAGCGGGCGCCTGTAGTCCCAGCTACTCGGGAGGCTGAGGCAGGAGAATGGCGTGAACCCGGGAGGCGGAGCTTGCAGTGAGCCGAGATCGCGCCACTGCACTCCAGCCTGGGCGACAGAGAGAGACTCCGTCTCAAAAAAAAAAAAAAAAAAAAAAAAAAAAAGGATTAACTGTAAATTTCTAAGTCAATAGAAGCTGATGTGTGACAGAAACCTTTAAACTGACAACTTTGTCATGATGAAGCCTCTTTTCTGAGGTTGTCTGGATGCCATCTCTGCAAGTTAATATCTCTGCCTAAGGACTCTTCTAACCATATTTTTAAAATAAAGCCTGGTTCTCTATCCTTCAAAACTAAAATCCTCTCTGTTTCATGATTATCTATAACTCCATCCTCTTTATTTATTACCCTATCATGTGTGATTTAGTCTCTGTTTAACTCACTTGCCTCCAACCTTGAACATAAAATATATTCACTTAAGGATACTGATGTCTTTTTCTTGTTTTCAGTACCCACTATTTTTCTCGGCCCTGCCTTCCTGTTTTCTTTTTCCTGCTAGGCAACTATAAAAGCCCCAATTCTTCTAACCTTGCACCCTGCCTGTAACTCCATCTCTCTCTCTTACTTTCTCCATTGGTTAGCTGAAAGAGTAGGAGTAAGCACTCTGTAAGTCTCTTCAGATCATCATCATCACCATCCAAGAGGGCACCCATAAATCGATGATACAAAATTATACAGGAACAGGATGCCCAATATGTTCAGTGTTTTTTTTCTTTTCAAATTTAGGATGATAATAGATGATTTTAAAAGAGAATGACCAGAACTCTCAAAATGAAAATCCTTCATTTTTATTTAGGAGGAAATGCTGGGTAATATCTGCCCTGAACTTAACCTTTCAAACATTTTTACACTGTTTATTAACAGTTGGCCAATTGGAAAGAGTACTTTCATAAGTATTCTTCAAAGAACTGGAGCAAAATAACAACAGTCCTTTGCACCAAAATTCAATCTATGTCAGTTAAAAAAAAACAACAACCTGATACTCTAAATTTAAAGGTATAAAATTAGCACATGCTGATTAACTACATTGTCTAGCTGATAGTCAAAATCTGTTCCTAGTGGTAATGAATAACAAAAATAGAAGGCAAACATAAGAAGAAATAATATATAGGCACATTATTCAAAAATAAGATGAAATACTTAGCTTTAAAGTAAAAAGCACTAGATTCCCTTGTTTGAAATCTAAACAAACTAGATTTCCTTATTTGTCATTCTTTTTCTCAACTTTTCCCCAAACAAAAACAACTCTGCCAGCCACAGGGTTTTGATACTTCAATTGTTTTCTTATCAAAAAAAATTAAGTAATAATCGAGTCATTGAAATGGTTTGTTTTATATTTTAGCGTTTAAATCCCATGTGATTTAATGAATTTCGGTGGAGGTGAATTCACCGATTTCATATACCTCTGAGAAAATAATACTTTTGAGGAGCTAGTATTACGAGATCATTTCTACTTTAGTATCTTACCTAAATGACACATTTTGTGCTTCTTAATTAAAAGGACAAGCATAAAGTATTCTATATACAGTAAGTTTTTCTACCTTCCACCAAATATTGAATCTTTAATAAGTCGATGTAGTCACATTAGGAAGTGATGCTGTTTTACTTGCTGAAGCAGTCAACAAGAACAAAATGAACTTATAATGAGTCTTTTAAAAATTTTTAATTAGTCCCTCATATGAAAATTATATCTTACCTTGGCAAACATACTGTCCATTTACCTTTAAGTTCAGATCATCACAGTTAATAAGCTCCCTAAAGTATGATGACAAACAGTGCCTAATACCACTTGCCCATTTGCCTTCACAAGAAGGCAGGGGTCTGCATCTCATATAATTACTCTAGAACCTCAGGTTATAAATAAACAATTACACATGATTTCTAGCCAAAGTTTTATTTAAGTAAGTATAACAATAAAGTATTCTGGCAATATCTCTATAGTACAGTAAAGGCAGGAATTACGAGTCTAAACATGGAGTGGTGTTTCTTTTTTCTCTTCTTTCACCCTTTTTAAAACATTTTTATTATTCATTTATTTATGTTTTATAGAGAGAGAGGGTCTTGCTATGTTGCTCAGGCTGGTTTTGAACTTCCAGACTCAAGCGATCCTCCCACTTTGGTCTCCCAAAGTGTTAGGATTACAGGCATGAGCCACTGTGCCCGGCCTTCTTTCACTCCTATACTCTTTGTTGTTGTTGAACACTCACTGTGGTATAGACTACAACATCCTGGATTCAAATTCCAATTTGCAACAATTAGTGGTGTGGCTTTAGATAACCTCTCTCATCTTCTTTTTCCTCATCTACAAATTGGGGGCAATATCTTGACAGATTTTTGTGAAGGTTAAATGAGATAATATATATGAGAGATACTGTGGGATAGCTGGCATGTAGTAGATGATTTGTAAATGTTAATTTATCCTTGAATCCTCCATTGAAAAATATGAACAGATAACATTTTTTTCTTGGTTCTTTCTTTCTTTCTTTCTTTCTTTCTTTCTTTCTTTCTTTCTCTTTCTCTCTCTTTCTTTCTTTCTTTCTTTCTTTCTCTTTCTCTCTTTCTCTCTTTCTCTCTTTCTCTCTTTCTCTCTTTCTTTCTTTCTTTCTTTCTTTCAGACAGGGTCTTGCTCTGTTGCCCAGGCTGGAGTGCAGTGGCACAATCTTGGCTCACTACAATTCCACCTCCCAGGTTCAAGCGATTCTCATGTCTCAGCCTTCTGAGTAGCTGGGATTACAGGCATGCACCACCATACCCAGCTAATTTTTGTGTTTTTGGTAGAGACGAGGTTCCACCATGTTGGCCAGGCTGGTCTCAAACTCTTGGCCTCGAGCAATCCACCTGCCTTGGCCTCCCAAAGTGCTGGGATTACAGGCATAAGCCACTGCATCTGGCCTTTGGCTATTAATTTGTCATCTCTACATTATTGTATCATTAATTCCCCAGCACCTAGTAACCTTTCTGGCATCCAGAGGTGCCCAAATACATGATGAATAAACTGAATTTATGTAATCTGTTTCTACTATTGCTGTTCTCTCTGGCTATTTCTAAAAGCACTGTAAGCATACTGGCTAGCTATTCCCCATATTGCCACCATGGTTGGCATTTCACCAATAGAGAGTTATGAATTTGGATAAAATACAACTCTTTCTAGGCATTTGTTTTTAAAATTCAAAAGCTTTTAGGAATGGTAATCATCTGGTTATTATGTGTCACTAATGCTTCATTGAAAATTAGTTTACAATTGCTTTTCTCTAAAACAGGTGCTGCTTTTAGCTGTAGAAGGCCCCTGGATACCCAAGAAAGATGGGCCAAAGGAAGAGGTTCTAGAAGTTTAAAGAAATACCTCCTAAGTCAAGTGCCAAGCACACAGATGTTTAATGTATATTATCTTGTTTAATTCTTACAAATCCTTGAGGGGAGTATGACTATTCCCACTTCACACATGAGGAAACTTGGTTTACAGAGAGGTTAAGAGACTTGCTCAAGGTGACAAACAGAAAGTAATTATATGGAATTCACCCCAGACTTATCTCAAAGTTCAGGTCCTTCCGTCCCAGTAGTATGCTCCTAGAAGGACACCAAAAGAGATGTGAAGGATGCTGAGGGGTACTTGCCTGCCTCATAGTTTTGCCTGGTGCTGGTCTTTTGCCATTAAAAAAAGTCACCAAAAACATAGTCCCTACTAGACTATGAGTTTAAAGACAGAGACTAGGTCTTACTCATCTTTGGAGACTTGGTATCTAATACAACGATGGGTGGAATGGGGTGATGCCTCAAGTCTTTTTATTAAAACAAATTTATTCTTATTCTCAGATCCTTTCAGTTTGTTTATCTAATACTATATAGCTCTGGTATTTACAAGATTTGCCTTCTTTCTATCAAATGTTCTTCTCTTTTACTTTCCAACTGGCTTAGTTCAGACAAAAGTGATAACATACTTAGACTGTGATGCACTAAAATAAGTAAAACATAAGGATCTTTAAACACAGCATAAACACAGCATGCCGTCAGTTTTCAGATGGTATAGGTTCAGCACTGCATTTTAGATTAGTGAGATATCAGATGATGACCTTGTTAGAAGCCATTTCTGTCCATCTCTAAAATCTTCTCCCCTAATACTATTCTTTGTCTTCCAGTGAATACCCCTAGGACATTGTGAGATGCATGTGTGTACCAAAAACTGGAAAACCCAAAATAACCAGGAACAGGCAGTCCTCAACATAGTGGCATCAGAGGTCAGAGGCGGGGAAGGATGTGCAGGATGAGCTGAGCTGCCCCCACCTGACATCCTGCCCCTATTACACAGGAGCAGAGACCTCCCTCTCACACCCAGGCTTTCTGGCTATACTGTCATAATATGTTTTAATCTTGAGAGCATGATTCTATATTCAAAGAATATATTTAAAACAGACTTTACCAGTTGGATAGATAAGGGTATAGAGCTTTTCTAATTTTTATATGGATAAATTTTCTCCTAAGACTATTCAAAGGATCCCCTTTTCTTTACTCCCACAGCCTCCCTAATATTCTCAATTTATATGAATGTAATCTCCGTAGCTGTTGGTTTAAGGCCATAATTTGTAAGTCTCTCTTACTATCTTTTAAAATAGTCCCTTTAGTTTTATGTCTACAGGCTTTAAATTTTGATTTTTCAATAGCAACTTGACAAGATTAATGAGCTGAAAATATATTTAACTGATATATCTTTTTTCTACTTTCAACAGAAAAATTCAAATTCAAGTTAATAAAACCCAAGTTACACCCATAAGTAATCCAAAAGAAAGTAGACATGAGTCTCAAAATTTTTTATACAACAGCTTCCTATAATATATTGAGATACAATTAAAGTGGCCTCAAGTACATTTTCCTGGAGAAGTTGACTCATGTTACACACAGTTGGCAATATACACTAAGGTTGTGATCTGACCAACACTCCAAAGTATGTGGGGGTGTGTGTGTGCACAAATATACATACACACATATACAGATACGTATACCTACCTAATTCTGAGCATATATTTTACAATGCTTGATAATTCATTTCCTTTCAAAAAATCTATTTATAATTTTAAATGTTGCTTTACTTATCACTACTTTGAGATCCTTCCAAAGAACATTTCTTGTTTCATCTTTGTATCCATCATGCACAGTAGGTACTTAATAATAAATGTTTGTTGAAGAAGACCTTGGATAAGATATAGCAAACAACCTAATACAGAGAATGTTACCTAAAAAATATAACCTGAAAGAAACTATGGGGAATAATCACTGGCAGACTTTCTAAATTTACAAAATAAATTTAAAACAATCCCAGTAAATATTACTAGGATAAATCAAAAAAACTCTTTGGAGATTGTGAGACTTGGTTTCTAAGTTTGTTGCAGATTTTACAGCAGTTCAGTGGTTTTGTGCACTTAAAAATTATGGCATGAAAATAAAAACAAAAAAAGCAAGCCCCTAAAAGAAATGAAATTTAAAATATGTCAGAACAAGAAAAGTTGGTTGCCTATGTGTTGTTTTTAAATATTAAATATATAATGTCATTTCTATTGCTACTTTAAAATTTTTTTAATAAAAGTATTGGACCTGGCCAACAGGTATCAAATGACTATTTTCTCAGAATAACATATATTGTTTAAAATTTACCTACAAAAACAACAGTCACAAGTTAACAACTTTGCAATAAAATTTACCTCGCTGGAACTGGTAGTTTGGGGCAGAGAACAGAAGATTTTGGAGATGTAGTGTATTCAGAAGGCTTTAGGTTGTAGCTACATAGGGCTGAACCTGTTGAAAGAAAAATTATGTTAGGTGGCAGAACAGTCTGAAAAAATTCTCTTACTATTCATTTTAATTTTGTATTATTCAACATATGCAACTTTCCAAACATTATAGAATTCATAAAAATCTGATTTGATCCATATTATAAGTCCTCAATCATTTAAAACTGATTCTTCTCTAAAATTACTATTAATGTAATTCATGTACAAATTTTAATTAATATTAAAGGTAATAACAATAAGTACTAGAACTACCTTTATTGAGTGTCAGGTTCTCTGCAAGATGACATTTATGCATTATACAATTTACTATAATTCTGTAAGGCAGGTATTATTAAGCCTACTTTAAAGAGAAGGAAATAGAGGCTAAGAGATAAGGTAAATAACTTGCCTAAGAACACAGAGCTAGTAGGAGTAGAACTGGGATTAAACACCACATCTCTTTCACTACAAAGCCTGTGCTCAGCTACACATTATGCCTGTTTTTCCTATGCTTTCAATTACTAAATGCTTACAATTAATGCATATAACACATGTAAATTCAGATAATACATTACTTATTTAAAAAGCAGGAAACATTCCTAACTGTAAATAAACTGAAAAAATTGATAAAACTGATAAATTGATAAAAGTGATTCCTAGTTTTCAGAGTTTAAGACAGCTTAAATTCAACTTTAGATTGGCTATGCAAAAAAAAATTAATTTTTCTGATTATATGGCCAACACATATCTAATATATGTAAAATGTACACAATGTAAAATTTACATAATACATTTATGTGTTATATAATTTACTATAACTCTATAAAGCTGGTATATACATTGATTTCCTTAGTATAGATAATTGAGATGGATAAAGTCCACTAAATCCAATATACATCTTATTTTCCTGATCCGTTAATTTTAAAATACAGCAACTAGAATACTGGAAGGTTCATTGTATAATATATTGTTAAGTGAGGAGACCCAGGCTCCAGTTCTAATTTTGCTGCATTTCATCACATAAACTGTTTATATTTGATTAACTGAGGTTCGTACCAGATTACTAATTTGGTCAAATACTTTATTATTAAATAAACAGAATAGCTTTGCATTTGTATTATGAAGATACTGAACTTTTATATTGTACCACCATGGAAAAATCTTAAAATATAATGTGAACAGCAGACTGCAACACTGAGTTAATTATGGAAAAGGCATGTGACCATATGAGAAGGAACTGGAAGGGAACATAGAAAAAAGAATATAGCTTGATTTAATGGCACAACAAAATTGGGAGCAAATTTATTTCATTTATATCTTGTCCTATCAATCAAAATAATTTTTAGAAAGGCACAAACCACCATTTAATTTAGCAATGCTGCCCCAAACCAGCAAAAAACCTAAGTGATTAAATATGTGAGCCTTAATAGCATACTGAAATGAGTGCATGTAGCATATATTTTATATAATGATAATCTGAGTAATCTGACAATGCAAAATATTTTTAAAGCGATAATTACAAGTTACATGGCACTGTTCTTCAAGCTTTTTAAGCTTAAGGTAGGCTCAATAAGAAACTAAGTTTTAAAAATTGTGCTTGACTATTCTTTTCCATTTTAATGATCTATTTTTTAAAAAGCTAAGCATGAATATTAAATATTTAACTCTTCTAAGAGTACTGTCTTTCATACTTGAATATAATGCCACTAGATTACATTTATAGCAATTTTGCAGAAAACATGACAATAATGGCAAACAAACATTTTAGACTAATCCTGAAATAGCTAGGAGTCCTAGTACAGAATTGCTCATGAAAAATAGCAACTGCGCCAATAAGTGCAGAGGACCCAATGTGATTATCAACTTCCTGATCTGAATTGTCAACTTATTTCTTTCAGAGTCCAAGATGGAATCGATTTGCACAAAACAAAAGGCCCTAACTAAAGCACTTTGTGTCAGTGCTGGCAAATACACTGCTTCATCTGAATTCAGTTAGCATAATCTCTATCCCCACCCCTTCTTCATTTAAAAAAGGAGGTCAGCAGGTGCAATGGAGTTCAATTTTATAAATACTTTCCCAGGATAATACTCAATGAAAGGATAATAGCCTTATCTCTGATGGTATTCTAGGACACAGGCCAGTACTAAATAGATCCTGTACTAAATGGATTAAAGGAAAAAGATCTTTACAATGTGTTAGTAGTAATAATCATAAGAAACCTTATACTGCTTCCTGCTCAAAGGGTTGATGAACAGAGAAGCCTCAATGAAGAACATTAAAACAATGCAGTAACAGCAAACATTTTACAACTGTTTTTCTTTTCATGTTCATTAGCTAAGGCATTTTCAGTTAACATTTTGAAGGTAGTATGTGTTTTTTTTTTTTTTTTCAGTGAAAGTATAAAAAATACTTAGCACAAGAGGTTTGGATATAACCAGTAAGACAAAGTTTTCCTTCTAATGCAAAAGCAGGTAAAAGTTATACATGAGTAATGAAAAGTAGAAAACTAAGAACAAAAGCTTATCTAAAGCACACCAGAGGCAATCCATGCAACTCAGCCGATGTTACTCAAAGACTACCAAAATGAGTGATCTTAGGAACCTAACTTTAGTGTATAAACATTTATCATGGTAAATGGTTGCTATGGCCCCCAAAATGTTTAACTACTACAATTTTTCAAATGCTGTATAATAGTCAATTATTTAGTCTTAATTTATTATTCTTTAGCTCAGTATCAGTTATATCAACTCCCCTAAGAGGTATGTTTCCATCACCACACTCCAAACATTACAGATGAAAAAAAAAGTAATATTTCCAAGGCCTTAAACACAATCACTGGCATATTTAGAAGTGGAATTCTTTGCCCCTTAAGCTGCCATGCTTCCTTTGTGCCATTGCTAATACTCATAATTGGGCAAGTATTCAATAAACTCCTGGGCCAAAAAACATACGTTCTACAGATACCTCAAAAAGAACATCTTTGGAGAAAAATTAGTTCCACCAGGTACTTTCTGATTTTATATTTTCTGTCCTGGCTAATGGTTCCAACATCCGTGAAACATACAAGTTATCCTACATTTTTTTATCTACTGTTTTCCTATACCATTCAAGAGATACTACATCCTGACATTAGACCTTCCTATGTTATCTCAGACCTTCATGACCTCCTACTGTGTCAGTTAAAATACTGTAAAGTGTTTCTCATCTCCATTCTGCATATAACCATCAGAATGGTCTTTGTACAATGCAGATTAGTCATATCATATCTCTATCCTCAGGATGAAGTCCAAATATCCTGGATTCAAGGTCCTCCTAAAGCAGGTCTCTACCTAAAACTCCAGACTCATCTCAACATAATAAACAACATACAATCAATGCTTGCTGTTTAACAAGCTTCCAGGCTTTCACACATGCTGTTCCCTCTGCTTGCGCTGTCCTTTCCCAGCTAGCACCTGAGTGTTGACGTCTGAGCAGAATTTCTACACACTACTCAAACTTCATCTCTTCTGTCAAGCCTTCTCTGACCAACCCAACAAAGCTATTTACTACTTAGCTCTATGATAAAACATGGCATATTCTTTTGTAATTTTTTGTTTATATATCATCTCTATTTTTATAATGCAAACTCTTTGAGAACTCGAACCTTATGCCTTTGAAATGTCTGGAACCTATATTTCCTGATACATAGATGTCATCCAAAGCCTTCTGTTGAATAAAACAGATATCCTGAGTGGAGAAAAAATGAAATAACTGTTTTTAATATCTTATGTTTTGGTGTTATATGTTATATACAATGTTCGGATGCTTTTCACCATTTGCTACAAATATACTACCTAAAACAACATTCCTCAATCTTGGTATTACGACATTTTGTGCTGGACAATTCTTGGTTGTAGGGGGCTGTCCTGTGCATTGCAAGATGTTTAGCAACATCCCTGGCCTCTATCCACAAGATTCCAGTAGCCTCCCCCTAAGCTCTCACCCAGTGTGACAGCCAAAAATGTCTCCAGACATTGCCAATTATCTTTGAGGAGGCAAAAGCACTTTTAATTGTGAACCAATGGTTTAAAACATCACATTATTTGAAATAAAGATACAAAACAAAGAGTTTCTATGCTGGGGGCTAATTTTTCTTGCTTTAAAATTTTGTTTAATTTACCACCACAATATTTGCAGGATAGATTAAAATTAAGGAAAAATATTCCTTAAAATATGATTTAAAAATTTGCAATTAATAAGAAAGTCTCTCAATGCAGAACAGTTTTTATTATGAAAGATTTCCATTGCCTTGTGATGTCTAATGAATTTAACCTCTTTTTCACTAATTAAGAAACACTACATGCTGGGAGAATGGAAGATAATTTTCCAATTTTAATTCCTAGTAACCCATGAAAAATATGGACATATTTGCAATTCCCAAGAAGCATCCACCTACAGAAATTAGCCAGGTAAGAATGTGGCATCGTCTGTCAACCACTGTTGGCACACACTAGGCACACATAATAAATATTTGCTGAGTGAATTAATTTTGAACATCTATGTACAAGACTTCTACTAGGTGTTGTGGAGGAAAAGGAGAATTCTGACTCAACTATACTGCAAACTCCTTAAATGTGGGGACTGTACTTTGTATCTGATGCATACTTAATGGGTACTAAGTATTTGTTGAATGAAAGAATTAGTTTAAACTGCATTATCAAATGTAAGGATCTTCCTTCTTTTTAAACAACCAAGCATCATTGCTGATCTCTGACTTGGAGACAATTAATTCGGTTGCTAGAGTTGATCATTTCATTCATTTATAAATGATATCAAGTCAAATCTTTTGACTTACTGTGCTAAAAAGAATACATAATTACTCTGGGGTTTAAATTTTATTCATACTGACTGGTAAGAAAAAGGGTAATATACTGATCATCTATTGATACTGATTAATCTAACAACCAGATAACAATAATCAAAAAGACTTATTAGTATTCACAATTAGCATTATCTGAATAGATCACATAATCTGTTAAAGTTTTTAATGGCTAAACAGTAATCATTAAGAAAACACAAGCTTCATGGCTCTACTCAAAATGTGAACATTATCTCAAGGGCAGATTATAAAGCTCTCAAATTTTTTTTCAAAATATAGTACATTGAAGAAGCACTCATAAATGGGAGTGCTTTTTCCACATACTATAAATGGGAGGCAAACAAAAGGAAAATAAGATTTCTGCCAGACTTTACTACTGTGTTAGGGAAGATAAAACATGTATTATAAAACACTTTGATAAGAATAATGGAAACGGTAATAAAAATTCCATGTGAACTATTAGCACTGAGAATCTATAGTCAGCCCCTAACTTACTCACAGGTTATGTTCATTTCTATTTATTTATATATATATATTTTTTTTTTTTTAGAGACAAGGATCTTGCTATGTTGCCCAGGCTGGCCTTGAACTCCTGAGCTCAAGTGATCCTCCCGCCTTGGCCTCTCAGTAGGCTGGGAATACAGGCACGCATCACTACACTTGGAAGATTGTGCTCATTTCTAAACTGCCATTTAGAACTTAGATAGCAAGTGCAAAAATCAAAACAATACGCAAAGCATCTGGTGCAGTCCATGGCATACAATAGCTACCAATAAATGGTATGTTGAAACAAAACTCAGGGCTTACGTCTGATGTTTCTATTCCAATTCAGATGCCCATGCTGAACAATGGGGACAGTGGAGTGAAGTGAAGGGTGGTCTATGGACCAGAGATGCTGCGTCAGAATTAGAGTGGGGAGAGAGAAAGGAGAAGAACTGTCTGAGCAGGCATTGTCTTCCCCTTCCCTTCACCACCTGTCTTGGTATGGCTGGGCTGAGATGAAAGCTGAAGGAGGGAGATTCTCCTCTCCCACTACAATGTACATAGTTCCCTCTGATCCATGGGAATACATTCCAAGACCCCTCGGTGGATGCCCGAAGCTGTGGATAGTACCAAACCCTCTATATGCTATGTCTTTTTGATCTGATAACTGATAGGGCTACTAAGAGACTAACTGGTGGGTAGCATACACAGTGTGGATATGCTGGACAAAGGGATGATCTGTATCTGGGTGGGATGGGGCAGGTCCGTGCAAGATTTCATCATGCTACTAAGCAAAGTGCACAATGTAAAACTTATGAATTATTTTTGGAATTTTCCATTAAATATTTTCAGACTGCAATTGACCATGGATAACTGAAATTGAACAGTAAAACTATGGATAAGGGAGAACTACCGTATGTGTTATTTGAATTTTCAAAAATAATTATAATAAGGAGGAAAGTAGCCTGTTCATCAGACTGAAGAGAAGGAAAGTGAAAGTAAGATGGAATTCATGCCCTGCTGAAAATAAGAACTCAGATGAGAGCATTCACCAGATGGTTTCAGTTTTCTCTGTAGGGCATAAGTTTTGGAAAGAGTACAAACAAGAGGGCTTAAGAGAAGAAGAGATATGAATAATCACTTGGATAGTATGTATAAGGGAGATAAATGAATGAATAAAATGAGTTATTTAGAGATGAATAAAAATAACTGATTTTACAGAAATACTGGTTAGACTGGAGAACAATTTACCTGCTGGTGTCAACTCACACAGATA